>NC_000023.11:78220117-78523148 GCF_000001405.40 Homo sapiens
AGTAAACAGAGCCCAAGAAACTTATGGGACACCATAAAGCCAACCTATATAGGCATTGCCGTTTTCTCTGAAGGAGAAGAGTGACAGAAATAGGAAGAGTAATTATTTGAAGTAATGGCTGAAAATTTCTCAAATTTGAGTAAATACATGGATCTAGAAATCCAAGAATTTCTATGCACTCCAACTAAGATAAACCCAGAGAGGCCTACACTGAAACACTTGCAAACAAACTGCCAAAGGCCAAAGACAGGGAATTTTAAAAGCAGTAAGAGAAACAGGTTGTTATATACAAGCGATCTTTCATATAATTATCAGCAAATTTTTCAGCAAAAATCTTGGAGGCCAGAAGACAGTGGGATGATATATTTAAAGTGCTGATAGAAATAAAAACAAACCTGTCAACTGAGAATTCTTTATATGGCAAAACAGTTCTTAAAAATGAGAAAGAAATTAATAAATTCTCTGTTAAGTAAAAGGTGAGGAGATGAATAGCCACTAGACCTGCCCTATCAGAACTGCTAAAAGGAATTCTTTAAGTTGAAATAAAGTGATACACAGAAGGACATTATATATTGATAAAAGTGTCAATTCACCAAGATGATTTTATGATTATAAACATATATGTACCAAATATTAGCACTCCCAAATATATGAAACAAACATGGGCAGAATCGATGGAAGAAGTAAATAACTCTACAGTAACAGTGGTGGATTTTAATGTCCTACTTTCAATAGTGGATAGAACAACCAGATAGAACATCAATAAGTAAATATAGGACTCAAACACTATAAACAAATTGGATTTAACAGACACATTCAGAACACTCTACCCAACAATAACAGAATATACATTTTTTCTGAAATGCACATGGGACATTCTGCAGGATAGACCATATGTTTCAGTACAAAACAAGTCTTAACAAGTTAAAAAAATACTAAAATTACACAAATTACCTCTTCCAATCACAGTAGAATGGAACTACATATCAATAGTAGAAGGAAACCTGGAAAATCTACAGAAATATGGAAATTAACACATGTTAAAAAATCAAGATTGAAAGAAGAAATCATAAGGTAAGTGAGAAAATATCTTTAAGAAAAATGTAAATGTCATCTGCAAACAAGGATAGTTTAAGTTTCTCTCTTCCAATGTGGATGCCCTTTATCTTTTTCTCTTGCCTGATTTCTCTGGTCAGGACTTCCAATACTATGTTGAATAGAAGTGGTGAAAGAGGGCATCCTTTTCTTTTGCTGGTTTCCAAGGAGAATGCTTACAGCTTTGACCCATTCATTATAATGTTGGCTGTGGGTTTGTGATAGAAGGCTCTTATTATTTTGAGTTATGTTTCTTCAATACCTAGTTTAATTGAGTTTTTAACATGAAGACATGTTGAATTTTGTTGAAAGCCTTTTCTGCATCTATTGATAAATCATGTGGTTTTTGTCTTTAGTTCTGCTTATGTCAAAATTGCATTTGTTGATTTGCATATGTTGAACCATCCTTACATTGTGGGGATGAACCCTACTTGATTGTGGTGGGGTAGCTTTTTGATGTGATGCTGGATTTGGTTTGCAAGTATTTTGTTGTGGATTTTTGCATCAATGTTCATCAAAGATATTGGCCTGAAGTTTTCTTTTGTTCTGTTATGTCTCTGTGAGGCTTTGTTACCAGAATGATGCTGGCCTCATAGAATGAGTAGGGGGGGAGTTTCTCCTCCCCCTCAACTTTGCAGAATAGTTTTAGCAGTAATGCTACTAACTCTTGCTTGTACATCTGGTAGAATTGACTGTGAGTTCATCTGGTCTTGTAATTGTTTTGGTTGGTAGGTAATTTATTACCGATTCAATTTTTGGAGCTCATGATTGCTCTGTTAAGGGAATCTATTTCTTCCTGGTTCAGTCTTGGAAGAATGTATGTGTCCAGGAATTTATCTATCTCTTCTAGGTTTTCTACTTTGTGTGCAAATTGGTGTTTGTAGTTTCTGACAGTTATATTTATTTTTGTGAGGTCAGTGGTAACACCTCATTTATCGTTTCTAATTGTGTTTATTTGGATTTTCTCTTGTTTCTTCATTAGTCTAGCTAGTGGCCCATTATATTAATTTTTTCAAAGAATCAGCTCCTGGATTTGTTGATCTTTTGAATGGTTTCTCCAGTCTCAATTTCCTTCATTCAGTCCTGATTTTGATTATACTTTTCTTCTGTTAGCTACAGGGTTGATTTGTTCTTGCTTCTCTAATTCTTTTTTTTTTCTTTTGAGATGGAGTCTCACTCTGTTGCCAGGCTGGAGTGCAGTGTCACGGTCTCAGCTCACTGCAACCTCTGCCTCCTGGGTTCAAGTGATTCTCCTGCCTCAGCCTCCTGAATAGCTGGGACTACAGGCATGTGCTACCATGCCCAGCTAATTTTTCTATTTTTAGTAGAGATGGGGTTTCACCATGTTAGCCAGGATGGTCTCGATCTCTTGACCTCATGATCCACCTGCCTCAACCTCTCAAAGTGCTGGGATTACAGGCATGAGCCACCACGCCTGGCCTTCTTTCACTTGTGATATTAGGTTGTAAATTTGAGATCTTTCTAACTTATTAATGGGGACATTTAGTGCTATAAATTTCCCTCTTAACACTGCCTTAGCTGTGTCCCAGAGATTCTGGTATGTTGTATCTTTGTTCCCATTAGTTTAAAAGAAGTCCTTATAGCAAGAGAATCCCATAGTCTTGGTCCAAAAGCTCCTTCAGTTGATAAACAACTTCAGCAAAATTTCAGAATACACAATGTACAAAAATTAGTAGTATTCCTATACGCCAATAGCCAAGCTGAAAGCCAAATCAGGAAGACAGTCCCATTGAGAATTGCAAAAAAAAAAAAAAAAAAAAAAAAAAAAAATACTAGAAGTATAGGTAACTGGAGAGGTGAAAAATCTCTACAACAAGAATTACAAAACATTGCTCAAAGAAGTTAAAGAAAACACAAACAAATAAAAATTGCATGCTCATGGATAGGAAGAATCAATACTATTAAAATGCCCATACTGCCAAAAGCAATTTACAGATTCAATGATATTTCTATCAAACTACCAATGACATTCTTCCTAGAACTAGAAAAAAACTATTCTAAAATTCATATGGAACCAAAAAAGAGCCCAAATATCCAAGGCAATCCTAAGCAACAAACCAAAAAACCAAAAAACCAAAAAACAAAAACAAAAACAAACAAAAAAAAGCAGCTGGGGGCATCACACTACCTGACTTCAAACTATACTATAGGGCTAGAGAAACTGAAACAACAAGGTACTGGTACAAAAACAGACATGTAAACAAATCAAATAGACCAGAAACAAGGCTGCGTATCTATAACCGTCTTATCTTCAACAAAGCTGACAAAAGCAAGCAATGGGGAAAGAACTCGCTATTCAATAAATGGTGCTGGGATAACTGGCTAGTCATATGCAGAAGATTGAAGTTAGACTCCTTCCTTGTGCCATACACAAAAATCAACACAAGATAAATTAAAGACTTAAATGTAAAACCTGAAAATATAAAAACCCTGGAAGAAAATCTAGGCAATAATATTGTGGAAATAGGAATGAGCAAAGGTTGCATGAAAAAGACACCAAAAGCAATTCCAACAAAAGTAAAAATTGGCAAATGAGATCTAATTAAACTTAAGAGCTTTGCTTCTGCACAGCAAAATAAACTATCAACAGATTAAACAGGCAACCTACAGAATAATATGTGCAAGCTATGCATCTGACAAATGTCTAATATTCAGCATCTATAAGAAATTTAAACATTTACAAGAGAAAAACAACCCCATTAAAAAGTGGTCAAAAACATGAACAGACAATTTTCAAAAAAGACATATCGCGTGTCCAAAAAGCACATGAAAAAAACCTCAATATCACTGATTATTAGAGAAACGAAAATCACAGATAACATGATACCATCCTACAGAAGTCAGAATGGCTATTAATAAAAGATAAAAGAACAGATGCTGGTGAGGTTGTGGAAAAAAGAGGACACTTATACACTGTTGGTGGAAGTGTAAATTAGTTCAACTGTTGTTCAAAGCAGTATGGCAATTCTGCAAAGAGCTAAAAACAGAACTACCATTTGACCCAGCAATCCCATACTGGTATATACCCAGAGGAATATAAATAATTCTACCATAAATACACATGCACAAGAATGTTCATTGCAGCACTATTCACAATAGCCAAGACATGGAATCAACCTAAATGTCCATTAATGACAGATTGTATAAATACTAGTGGCACATATACACCATGGAATACTATGCAGCCATAAAAATGAATGACACCATATCCTTTACAGGAACATGGATGGAGCTGGAGGTTATTATTCTTAGCAAACTAACACTAATGCAGGAACAGAATACCAAATACCATGTGTTCTCACTTATAAGTGGGGACTAAATGATGAGAACTCATGGGTGCAGAGAGGGAAACAACAGACACTGGGGTCTACTTGAGGATGGAGAGTAGCAGGAGGGAGAGGAGCAGAAACAATAACTATTGGGTAGTGGGCTTAATCCTGGGTGCTAATCTGCACAACAAACCTCTATGTCACGAGTTTACCTATATAACAAATCTCCACATATACCCCTGAACCCAGAATAAAAGTTAAAAAAGTGAAAAAAGTGAATATGAAAACAGAACATAAGAAATGTTATGGAATTCAGTGAAAGCAGTGCCAAGAAGGGAAATTTATAACTGTAAATATTTATTAATACATTAAACGAGAAGATCTCAAATAAACAACCTAACTTTACATCTCATGGAACTAAAACAAGAAAAACAAACAACTCAAAAGTAGCAGAAGGAAGAATATACTAAAGATTAGATAAGAGATAAAATACAGAGGCTGAGTATGGTGGCTCACACCTGTAAATCCAGCACTTTGGGAGGCTGAGGCAGGAGGATTGCTTGAGCTCTGGAACTCGAGACCGGCCTAAGCAACATAGTGGGACTCTGTCTCTATGAAAAACAAAAATTAGGTGGGTGTGATGGCCACATACCTGTAGTTCCAGCTACTCTGGAGACTAGATGGAAGAATCACTCAAGCCTAGGAGGTCAAGGCTGCAGTGAGCCACAGTCATGCCATGGCACCCCAGCCTGGGTGACAAAGCAAGACCCTGTCTCAAAAAAAAACAAACAAAGAAAAAACAGAGTAGAAAAACAATAGAGAAAAATCAACAAAATCAAGAGGCGGTTCTTTGAAAAGACAATAAAATTGATAAACCTTTAGCAAAATTGATGAAGAAAAAAAGAAAGGACTAAAATAAATAAAATCAGAAATAAAATTGGGGACATTATTACCAATTTTATAGGAATAAAAAGTATTATAAGACAGTAGTATGAACAATTATTTGCAAACAAAATGAATACATTAGATGAAATGGACAAATTCCTAAAAAGAACAGCCTACAAAGACTAAATCATAATGAAATAGAAAATCTGGATCGAACTGTAACTGGTAGGAATATGGAATCAGTAATCAAAAACCTCTCTACAACAAAAAGTTTCATTTTTAAAATATTTATTCATTTACTCATAGAGATGTGGTCTCATTATGCTGCCCAGGTTGGTCTTAAACTCCTGGGCTCAAGCGATCTTCCCATCTTGGCCTCCCAAAGTGTTGGGATTACAGGCGTGAGCCATTCTGCCTGGCCAACAGTTTTAGACAAGATGGTTGCACTGGTGAATTCTACTAAACATATAAAGGAAAACCAATCCTCAAACTCTTCAAAAAATTTAAGAGTAAAAAACACTTTTTTAAAATTATACTTTAAGTTCTGGGGTACATGTGCAGAACGTGCAGTTTTGTTATATAGGTATACACACACCATGGTGGTTTGCTGCACCCATCAACCCGTCATCTACATTAGGTATTTATCCTAATGTTATCCTTCCCCTAGCCCCCCACCCCCAACAGGTCTCAGTGTATGATGTTCCCCTCCCTGTATCCATGTGTTCTCATTGTTCAACTCCCAATTATGAGTGAGAATATGCAGTGTTTGGTTTTCTGTTCTTGTGATAGTTTGCTGAGAATGATGGTTTCCAGCTTCATCTGTGTCCCTGCAAAGGACATGAACTCATCCTTTTTTATGGCTGCATAGTATTCCATGGTGTATATGTGCCACATTTTCTTTATTCAGTCTATTATTGATGGGCATTTGGATTGGTTCCAAGTCTTTGCTATTGTGAATAGTGCTGCAGTAAACATATGTGTGCATGTGTCTTTATAGTAGAATGATTTATAATCCTTTGGTTATATACCCAGTAATGGGATTGCTAGGTCAAATGGTATTTCTGGTTCTAGATATTTGAGGAATTGCCACACTGTCTTCCACAGTGGTTGAACTAATCTACACTACCACCAACAGTTCCTATTTCTCCACATCATCTCCAGCTGTTTCCCACAAACAGTTCCTATTTCTCCACATCCTCTCCAGCACCTGTTGTTTCCTGACTTTTTAATGATTGCCGTTCTAACTGGTGTGAGATGGTATCTCATTGTGGTTTTGATTTTCATTCCTCTAATGACCAGTGATGATGAGCATTTTTTCATATGTCTATTGGCTGCATAAATGTCTTCTTTTGAGAACTGTCTGTTCATATCCTTTGCCTGCTTTTTGATGAGGTTGTTTTTTTCTTGTAAATGTGTTTAAGTTCTTTGAAGATTCTGGATATTAGCCCTTTGTCAGATGGATAGATTGCAAAAATTTTCTCCCATTCTGTAGGTTGCCTGTTTACTCTGATGATAGTTTCTTTTGCTGTACAGAAGCTCTTTAGTTTAATTAGATCCCATTTGTCAATTTTGGCTTTTCTTGCTGTTGCTTTTGGTGTTTTAGACATGAAGTCTTTGCCCATGCCTATGTCTTGAATGGTATTGCCCAGGTTTTCCTCTAGGATTTTTATGGTTCTAGGTCTTATATTTAAGTCTTTGATCCATCTTGAGTTAATTTTTGTATAATGTCTAAGGAAGGGTTCCAGTTTCAATTTTCTGAATATGGCTAGCCAGTTTTCCCAACAACATTTATTTACAGGGAATGGTTTCCCCATTGCTTGTTTGTGCAGGTTTGTCAAAAGTCAGATGGTTGTAGATGTGTAGTGTTATTTCTGAGGCCTCTGTTCTGTTCCATTGGTCTATATATCTGTTTTGGTACCAGTATCATGCTGTTTTGGTTACTGTAGCCTTGTAGTACAGTTTAAAGTCAGGTAGTGTGATGCCTCCAGCTTTCTTCTTCTTGCACAGGATTGTCTTGGTTATGCGGGCTCTTTTTTAAAACTTCCGTATGAAGTTTAAAGTAGTTTTTTCCAATTCTGTGAAGAAAGTCAGTGGTGGCTTGACGGGGATAGCATTGCATCTTTAAACTACTTTGGGCATTGTGGCCATTTTCATGATATTGATTCTTCCTATCCATGAGCATGGAATGTTCTTCCATTTTTTTGTGTCCTAGGTATTTTATTCTTTTAGTAGCAATTGTGAATGGGAATTCTCTCATGATTTGGCCCTCTGTTTGTCTGTTATTGGTGTATAGGAATGCTCATGATTTTTGCACATTGATTTTGTATACTGAGAATTTGCTGAAGTTGCTTATCAGCTTAAGGAGATTTTGGGCTGTGATGATGGCGTTTTCTAAATATGCAATCATGTCATCTGCAAATAGAGACAATTTGACTTTCTCTCTTCCTGTTTGAATACCCTTTATTTCTTTCTCTTGCCTGATTGCCCTGGCTAGAACTTCCAATACTATGTTGAATAGGAGTGGTGAGAGAGGGCATCCTTGTCTTTTGCCGGTTTTCAAAGGGAATGCTTCCAGTTTTTGCCCATTCAGTATGATATTGGCTGTGGGTTTGTCATAGATAGCTCTTATTATTTTGAGATACTTTGCATTGATACCCAGTTTATTGAGCTTTTTAAACATGAAGTGGTGTTGAATTTTGTTGAATATCTTTTCTGCATCTATTGAGATAATCATGTGGTTTTTGTGATTGGTTCTGTTTATGTGATGGATCATGTTTATGGATTTGCATATGTTGAACCAGCCTTTCATCCCAGGGATGAACAACTTTTCCGCATCTATTGAGATAATCATGTGGTTTTTGTGATTAGTTCTGTTTATGCGATGGATTATGTTTGTGGATTTGCATATGTTGAACCAGCCTTGCATCCCAGGGATGAAGCCTACCTGATCATGGTGGATAAGCTTTTTGATGTGCTGCTGGATTCAGTTTGCCGGTATCTTATTGAGGATTTTCACTTGGATGTTCATCAGGGATATTGGCCTGAAATTTTCTTTATTTATTGTGTCTCTGCCAGGTTTTGGTATCAGGATGATGCTGGCCTCATAAAATGAGTTAGTTAGGGAGGATTTTCTCTTTTTCTATTTGGAATAGTTTCAGAAGGAATGGTACCAGCTCCTCTTTCTACCTCTGGTAGAATTCAGCTGTGAATCTGTCCAGGCCTGGACTTTTTTTTTGGTGGGTAGGCTATTAATTACTGCCTCAATTTTAGAACTTGTTATTGGTTTATTCAGGGATTTGACTTCTTCCTGGTTTAGACTTGGGAGAGTGTATGTGTCCAGGAATTTATCCATTTCTTCTAGATTTTCAAGTTTATTTGTGTAGAGGTGTTTATAGTATTCTCTGATGGTAGTTGGTATTTCTGTGGGATCAGTGGTGATACCCCTATATCATTTTTTATTGCCTCTATTTAATTCTTCTGTTTTTTCTTCTTTATTAGTGTGGCTAGCGGTCTATCTATTTTGTTGATCTTTTCAAAAAACCAGCTTGTGTATTCATTGATTTTTGAAGGGTTTTTCGTATCTCTATCTCCTTCAGTTCTGCTCTGATTTCAGTTATTTCTTGTCTTCTGCTAGATATTACATTTCTTTGCTGTTGCATCTCTATTTTTTTTAAATTGTGTTATTAGCATGTCAATTTTAGATCTTTCCTGCTTTCTCTCTTGGGCATTTAGTACTATACATTTCCCTCTATCCACTTCTTTAAATGTGTGCCAGAGATTCTGGTGTGTTGTGTCTTCATTCCCATTGGTGTCAAACAACATCTTTATTTCTGACTTCATTTCATTATTTATGCAGTAGCCATTTAGGAGCAGTTGTTCAGTTTCCATGTAGTTGTGTGGTTTTGAGTGAGTTTCTTAATCCTGAGTTCCAGTTTGATTGCAGTGTGGTCTGAGAGACTGTTCATTATGATTTCCATTCTTGCACATTTGCTGAGGAGTGTTTTACTTCCAATTATGTGGTCAGTTTTAGAATAAGTGCGATGAGGTGCTGAGAAGAATGTATTTTCTGTTGATTTGAGGGGGAGAGTTCTGTAGATGTCTATTAGGTCTGCTTGGTCCAGGTCTGCAAGGTCCTGAATATCCTTGTTAATTTTCTGTCTCTTTGATCAGTCTAATATTGACAGTGGGGTGTTAAAGTCTCCCATTATTATTGTGTGGGAGTGTAAGTCTCTTTTTTGGTCTCTAAGAACTTGCTTTATGAATCTGGGTGCTCCTGTATTGGGTGCATATATATTTAGGATAGTTAACTCTTCTTGCTGCATTGATCCCTTTCTCATTGTATAATGCCCTTCTTTGTCTCTGTTGATCTTTGTTGATTTAAAGTCTGTTTTACACCAAAAGCAATGGCAACAAAAGCCAAAATTGACAAATGGGATCTAATTAAACTAAAGAGCTTCTGCACAGCAAAAGAAACTACCATCAGAGTGAACAGGCAACCTACAAAATGGGAGAAAATTTTCGCAACCTACTCATCTGACAAAGGGCTAATATCCAGAATCTACAATGAACTCAAACAAATTTACAAGAAAAAAACAAACAACCCCATCAAAAAGTGGGCGAAGGACATGAACAGACACTTCTCAAAAGAAGACATTTATGCAGCCAAAAAACACATGAAAAAATGCTCATCATCACTGGCCATCAGAGAAATGCAAATCAAAACCACAATGAGATACCATCTCACACCAGTTAGAATGGCAATCATTAAAAAGTCAGGAAACAACAGGTGCTGGAGAGGATGTGGAGAAATAGGAACACTTTTACACTGTTGGTGGGACTGTAAACTAGTTCAACCATTGTGGAAGTCAGTGTGGCGATTCCTCAGGGATCTAGAACTAGAAATACCATTTGACCCAGCCATCCCATTACTGGGTATATACCCAAAGGACTATAAATCATGCTGCTATAAAGACACATGCACACGTATGTTTATTGCAGCATTATTCACAATAGCAAAGACTTGGAACCAACCCAAATGTCCAACAATGATAGACTGGATTAAGAAAATGTGGCACATATACACCATGGAATACTATGAAGCCATAAAAAATGATGAGTTCGTGTCCTTTGTAGGGACATGGATGAAATTGGAAATCATCATTCTCAGTAAACTATTGCAAGAACAAAAAACCAAACACCGCATATTCTCACTCATAGGTGGGAATTGAACAATGAGATCACATGGACACAGGAAGGGGAATATCACACTCTGGGGACTGTGGTGGGGTGGGGGGAGGGGGGAGGGATAGCATTGGGAGATATACCTAATGCTAGATGACGAGTTAGTGGGTGCAGCGCACCAGCATGGCACATGTATACATATGTAACTAACCTGCACAATGTGCACATGTACCCTAAAACTTAAAGTATAATTAAAAAAAAATAGAAAAAAAAATCAGAGGAAAAGAAAAAAAAATAAAGTCTGTTTTATCAGATATTAGGATTGCAACTCCTGCTTTTTTTTTGCTTTCCATTTGCTTGGTAAATATTCCTCCATCCCTTTATTTTGAGCCTATGTGTGTCTTTGCATGTGAGATGGGTCTCCTGAATACAGCACACTGATGGGTCTTGACTCTTCATCCAATTTGCCAGTCTATCTTTTAATTGGGTCATTTAACCCATTTACATTTAAGGTTAATATTGTTATGTGTGAATTTGATCCTGTCATTATGATGCTAGCTGGTTGTTTTGCCTATTTGTTGATGCAGTTTCTTCATAGTGTCTATGTTTTTTTACAATTTGGTATGTTTTTGCAGGGCCTGATACCAGTTATTCCTTTCCATCTTTAGTGCTTCCTTCAGGAGCTCTTGTAAGGCAGGCCTGGTGGTGACAAAATCTCTCAGCATTTGCTTGTCTGTAAAGGATTTCATTTCTCCTTTGCTTATGAAGCTTAGTTTGGCTGGATATGAAATTCTGGGTTGAAAATTCTTTTCTTTAAGAATGTTGAATATTGGACCCCGATCTCTTCTGGCTTGTAGGTTTTCTGCAGAGAGATTTGCTGTTAGTCTGATGGGCTTCTCCTTATTGGTCACCTGACCTTTCTCTCTTGCTGCTGTTAACATTTTTCCTTCATTTCGACCTTGGTGATTCTGATGTTTATGTTTCTTGGGGTTGCTCTTCTCAAGGAGTATCTTTGTGGTGTTCTCTGTATTTCCTCAATTTGAATGTTGGCCTGTCTTGCTAGGTTGGGGAAGTTCTCCTGGATAATAACCTGAAGAGTGTTTTCCAACTTGGTTCCATTCTCCTCGTCACTTTCAGGTACACCAGTCAAATGTAGACTTGGTCTTTTCATGTAGTCCCATATTTCTTGGAGGCTTTTTTTCATTCCTTTTTGTTCTTTTTTCTCTAATCTTGTCTTCATGCTTTATTTCATTAAGTTGATCCTCAATCACTGATATCCTTTCTTCTGCTTGATTAATTCAGGTATTGAAACTTGTGTATACTTCACTAAGTTCTCGTGCTGTAGTTTTCAGCTTCATCAGGTCATTTATGGTCTTCTCTACTCTTGTTATTCTAGTTAGCAATTCATCTAACCTTTTTTCAAGGTTCTTAGCTTTCTTGCATTGGGTGAGAACATGCTCCTTTAGCTCAGAGGAGTTTGTTATTACCTGCCTTCGGAAGCCTACTTCTGTGAATTTGTCAAACTCATTCTCCATCTAGTTTTGTTCCCTTGCTGGCAAGGAGTTGTGATTCTTTGGAGGAGAAGAGGTGTTCTCGTTTTTGGAATTTTCAGCTTTTTGTGCTGGTTTCTCCCCATCTTTGTGGATTTATGTACCTTTGGGCTTTGATGTTGGTGACCTTCGAATGGGGTCTTTGAATGGTTGGTTGGTTTCTTTCTGTTGGTTGGTTTTCCTTCTGACAGTCAGGTCCCTCTGCTGCTGGTCTGCTGGAGTTTGCTGTAGGTCCATTCCTGACACTGTTTGCCTGGGTGTCACCAGCGGAGTCTGCAGAACAGCAAAGATTGCTGCCTGATATTTCCTCTCAAGGCTTTGTGCCAGAGGGGTACCTGTCAGATGCCAGCCAGAACTCTCCTGTGTGAGGTATCTGTCGGCCCCTACTGGGAGGTGTCTCCCAGTTAGGATACATGGTGGTCAGGGGCCCACTTCAGGAGGCAGTCTGACCCTTAGCAGAGCTCGCACACTGAGCTGGGAGGTCTGCTGCTGTCTTCAGAGCCGTCAGGGAGGGACGTTTAAGTCTGCTGAAGCTGCGCCCACAGCCACCCCTTTCCCCAGGTGCTCTGTCCCAGGGAGATGGGGGTTTTGTCTATAAGTCCCTGACTGGGGCTGTTGCCTTATTTTCAGAGATGCCCTGCACAGAGAAGGGAAATTTGGCAATCTGGACACAGCAGCCTTGCTGAGCTGCAGTGGGCTGTGCCCCATTGGAACTTCCCAGTGGATTTGTTTACACTGTGATTGTAAAACCACCTACTCAAGCCTCAGCATTGGTGGATGCCTCTCCCCCTACCAAGCTTGAGCGTCCCTGGTAGATCTCAGGCTGCTGCTGTGCTGGCAGTGAGAATTTCAAGCCAGTGGATCTTAGTTTGCTGGGCTCCATGGGGGTGGGACTTGCCGAGCCAGACCACTTGGCTCCCTGGCTTCAGCACCCCTTTCCAGGGGAGTGAATGGTTCTGTCTTGCTGGCGTTCCAGGCGCCACTGGGGTATGGAAAAAATGAACTCCTGCAGCTAGTTTGGTGTCTGCCCAAATGGCTGCCTGGTTTTGTGTTTGAAACCCAGGGCCCTGGTGGGGTAGGCACCGGAGGGACTCTCCTGGTTTGCGGGTTGTGAAAACCGTGGGACAAGCGCAGTATCTGTGGCAGAGTTTCTCAGGCTCAGTCCCTCATGGCTTCTCTTGGGTGGGGGAGAAAATTCCCTGACCACTTGCACTTCCTGGGTGAGGTGACACCCCACCCTGCTTCAGCTTGCCCTCCATGGGCTGCACCCACTGTCTGACCAGCCCCAGTGAGATGAACCAGGTACCTCACTTGGAAATGCAGAAATCACCTGCTTTCTGGGACGATCTTGCTGTGAGCTGCAGACCGGAGCTGTTCCTATTTGGCCATCTCAACAGCCTCAAGAATAGAAAACACTTTCTCTCTCTTTTTTTTTTTTTTTTGAGACAGAGTCTCACTCTGTCGCCCAGGCTGGAGTGCAGCAGCGCGATCTCGGCTCACTGCAAGCTCTGCCTCCCGGGTTCACACCATTCTCCTGCCTCAGCCTCCTGAGTTGCTGGGACTACAGGTGCCTGCCACCACGCCCTGCTAATTTTTTTTTGTACTTTTAGTAGAGACTGGGTTTCACTGTGTTAGCCAGGATGGTCTGGATTTCCTGACCTCGTGATCTGCCCGTCTCAGCCTCCCAAAGTGCTGGGATTACAGGTGTGAGCCACCACGCCCGGCCAAGAGTAGAAAACACTTTCTACCTCATTCCCTAATGCCAGCATTACCTTGATATGGTGGCATGGAGGGATGGAGGGAGCAATATGAGCAAAGATTTAGAAGGGAGGTACTGTACATGTGGAGAGGTAATGTAAGCAGTTGAGTTTCACTGGAATTTTAAAGTGTGAAGCAGGAGAAGGTGAGAGATGAGGCTGGAGAATTAGGCAGAGGTCAGATCATGGAGACCTATATATGTAATGTTAAGAAGCTTAGCTCTTATCCTCTATGTATTCTTGATGTTTAGCCTGAAACCTGTCACTTTTACAATGCAGATATGACAATAAATTGAATCAAAATTACTTCAAATACAGAACAGTGTCTAGGAATAAGCTTCAATGAGATATAAATATTCAGTTATAAAAATAATTGCTTTCATACCTTTGTAATGTTGGCATCAAAGGAGGACACTATACTATAATGAATAGATGTACTATGTTTACATACATAGAAAACATAATTTGATTTTATAAAGTGGAAAAAATTGACTAGCAAACCATTCTAAATGATTTTATTTTTTATGTTACAATTATATTTTCAGGAATCTTTAATTTTTTTATTTTTAACTTTTGTGGGTACATAGTAGTTGCATATATTTAGGGTGTATGTGGGATGTTTTGATATAGGCATGCAATGTTAACTAAGCACATCTTAGAGAATGGGGTAGCTGTCCCCTCAAGCATTTATCCTTTGAGTTGCAAACAATCCAATTACACTCTTGAAGTTATTTTAAAATATACAATTAAGTTATTATTGACTATCATCACCCTATTGTGCTATCAAAGTGTAGGTCTTATTCATTCTTTCTAACTATTATTTTTGTATTAATTAACCATTCTCAGCTCACCAAAGGCCCTCACAACACTTCCAAGCCTCTGGTAACTGCTTTCTATGACCGTAAGTTCAATTGTTTCAATTTTTAAATCCCACAAATAAGTGATAAAATATGATGTTTGCTTTTCTGTGCCTGGCGCATTTCACTTAATATAATGATCTCCAGTTCCATCTATGTTGTTTGAACTGACTGGATCTCATTCTTTTTATGGCCGAATAATATTTTATTGTATATATGTACCACATTTTCTTTATCCATTTATCTGATGATGGACACTTATATTGCTTCCAAATATTGGCTATTGTAAACAGTGTTACGAGAAATATAGGAGTGCAGATATCCCTTTGATATACTAATTGTTTTTCTTTTGGGTACATTCCCAACAATGGGATTGCTGGATCATATGGTAGCTCAATTTCTAGTTTTTTGAGGAACCTCCAAACTGTTCTCCATAGTGGTCGTACTAATTTACACTTCCACCAACAGTGTACAAGAGTTCCTTTTTCTCCTCATCCTCACCAGCATTTGTTATTGCTTGTCTTTTGTATATAAGTAATTTTAATGGGGGTTGAGATGATATCTCATTGTAGTTTTGATTTGCGTTTCTCTGATGATCAATGAGGTGAGCACTTTTTCATATGCTTGTTTGCAATTTGTATGTCTTCTTTTGAGTAATGCCTATTCAAATCTTTTCCCATTTTTTGATTAGATTATTAGATTTTCTTCTATACAGTTGTTTAAACTCCTTATATAGTCTGGTTATTAATTCCCTGTCAAATGGTTAGTTTGCAAATATTTTCTTCCATTCTGTGGGTTGTCTCTTCATTCATTGTATTCTTTGCTGTGCAGAAGCTTCTTAACTTGATGTTATTTGTCTGTTTTTGCTTTGGTTGCCTGTGCTTGTGGGGGTATTGCTCAAGAAATTTTTGCCCAGAATGTCGTGTAGAGTTTCCCCTATGTTTTCTTGTAGTAGTTTCATAGATTGAGGTCTTAGATTTAAGACTCTAATCCATTTTGATTTGATTTTTATATATAGTGAGAGATAAGGGTATAGTTTTATTCTTCTGTATATGAATATACACTTTTTATTTATTTTTATTTTTTATTTTTATTTTTGAGACGTAGTTTCACTCTTGTTGCCCAGGCTGGAGTGCAATGGCAGGATCTCGGCTCACGGCAACCTCCACCTCCTGTGTTCAATCGATTTGCCTGCGTCAGCCTATCGAGTAGCTGGGATTACAGGCATGCGCCACCACTCCCGGCTAATTTTGTATTTTTAGTAGAGACAGGGTTTCTTCATGTTGGTCAGACTGGTCTCGAACTACCGACGTCAGGTGATCCATCTGCCTCGGCCTCCCAAAGTGCTGGGATTACAGGCGTGAACCACCGTGCCCGGCCCTACTTTTTATTTTTATGTTTTTTTTTTTTTTTCTTTTGAGACCGAGTCTCACTCTGTTGCCCAGGCTGGAGTGCACTGGCGCAATCTCAGCTCACTGCAACCTCCACCCTCTACCTGCCGGGTTGAAGGATTCTCCTGCCTCAGCCTCTTGAGTAGCAGGGATTACTGGCGCCTGCTATCGCACCTAGCTAATTTTTGTATTTTTAGTAGAGTTGGGGTTTTGCCATGTTGGCCAGGCTGGTCTAGAAGTCCTGACCTTAGAAGATTCACCCACCTCAGCCTCCCAAAGTGCTGGGATTACAGGCTTGAGCCACTGTACCTGGCCTGAATATTTACTTTTTAAAGCACTGTTTATTAAAGAGATTGTCTTTTCCACAGTGTATGTTTTGGCACCTTTGTTGAAAATAAGTTCACTGTTAATGGATGGATTTATTTCTAGGTTCTCTATTCGTTTCTATTCATCTATGTATGTGTTTTTATGCCAGTACCATGCTGTTTTGGTGACTATAGCTCTGTAGTAGTAAAATTTGAAGTCAGGTAATATGATTCCTCCAGTTTTGTTCTTTTTGTTTATGATAGCTCTGGCTATTCTGGGTTCTTTGTGGTTCTATATAAATTTCAGGATTGTTTTTCCTATTTCTGTGAAGAATGTCATTGGTATTTTGATAGGGATTGCACTGAATCTGTGGATTGCTTTGTATAGTATGGACATTTTAAGAATATTGCTGCTTCTAATTCATGAACATATAATTTTTTTATTTTTTTGTTTCCTCTTCAATTTCTTTTATCAGTATTTTTACTTTTTATTACAGAGATCATTCACTTCTTTGGTTAATTCCTATGTATTTAATTTTATGTGTAGCTAATGAAAATGGGATTAGTTTCAACATTTCTTTTTCACATTTTTGCTATTGGCATATAGAAATGCTGATGATTTTTGTATGTTAAATTTTTGTCCTGAAATTTTACTGAATTTGTTGATCAGTTCTAATAGTTTTCCTGTGGAGACTTCAAGTTTTATCAAATATAAGATCACATCATCTGCAAATAAGGATAATCTGATTTCTCCCTTTCCAATTGGGATGCCCTTTTAATCTCTGTCTTGTCTGATTGCTCTAGCTAAGACTTCCAGTACTATGTTGAGTAACAGTGGTGAAAGTGGGTATCCTTGTCCTTCAGATCTGAGTCAGACCTGAAGCCAGCACAGCACTGGGTCTTGCCCAATGCCTGCTGTAACCACTTTCTGGCTACTGCATATGTTGTCTCAAGGCCCTGGGGCTCTACATTCAACAGGTACCAAAGCCAGCCAGGGTTGTGTCTTTCCTATCAGGACAGTGAGGGCCCCAGTCCCCATTTGGGTTCAGAAATGCTGTCTGGGAGTCAGGGATGAGAGTAAAAAACCTTAGAAGTCTACCTGCTGCTCTGTTGTATTGCAGCTAAGCTGACACTCAAACCACTAGATGCAGACCTTCCCACTCTTCACTCCCCTTTCAAAAGGCAGAGTAGCCTCACTCTGTAGCCACTGCCATCTCAGGCCATGAGGAGTACTGGCAGTCTACCAGCCAATGTTCCTCTAAGGCCCATGGGCTTTTAAGTCAGTTTGTGGTGAATGCTGTCTGGCCTGGGACTCACCCTTCAGGGTAGTGGGCTCTTCTCTGTCCCTGGGCAGGTCCAGAAATGCCATTCAAGAGTCACAACCTGGAATCAGGGACCCTAGGAACTTGCTTGGTGCTCTGTCCCACTGTGCCTGTGCTGGTACCTAAGGTGTCAGACAAAGTCCATTTACTTTTCCCTCTGCTTTTCTCAAGCAGAAGTTTTGCCTCATAGCCACCATAGCTAGTAATGTGCTGAGTCTCACATGAAGCCAGCAAGCCTCAGGGGCTCACCCAAGGCCCTTGATATAGTACCTGGGTATCACTGCTGGTTATTCACGGCCCAAGGGCTCTTCAGTTAGCAGATGATGAATGCTGCCATGACTAGGTTTTTCATTAAAGGCGGCAGGTTCCTTTCTGGCAAAAGGTGTGTCTAGAGATGTCGTCTGGAAGCTAAGGCCTGTAATGGGGGCATCATGACTCTATCTGGTGCCCTATTCTGCTGTGACTGTGCTAGTATTCAAGATGCAAGACAAAGTCCTTCCCACTCTTCCATCTCTTCTCCTCAAGAAAAAGGAAGGGGTCTCTTTTGGACCTGTGAGCTGTGCAGCCTGGGGTTAGGGGAGGGGTGATGCCAGCATTTCCTTGACTTCCCTAGTTGGTGTTTCAGTATGTCACATGTCCCCCCACACAAATCACAGTCTATGGCCTAGTTCAGCACTAGGACTCACCTAGGAGTTGCATTTCTTATGGCCTTGGCTACTTTTCAAATTTACTTTGAGACACAGGGTGCAGTAGCCTCAGCGGTGATGTTTGCAGGAACTCACACTCCAACCACTGGGATTGGTGATTCTCTTCTGGCTAGGGCTGGTTTACATGTGCCCTCCAAGGGCAGGCATAAGCTGAGTTTGATCAGGTTTTTCTTTCTGCTTTAACAGGACAACATTGAGTTCAATGCCTCACAATTACTGTGTTCTCTCTCCTCTAGTGCCCAGAGTTGCACTCCACACCATGCTGCCACTGGAGGTAAGAGAGGGGTGTCATCAGTGACTTCAGACTGTTTTTTCTATCTCCTCAGTGTCTCTTTGAGTGATATGAAGTTAAAATCAGGTTCTATGAATGTGCACCTAATTTTTTGTTCTTATAAAGATTTTTTTTTTCTCTGTAGATCGTTGTTAACTTGGTGTACTTGTAGAGGGGGATGATTGGTGGAGCCTTGTATTCTGCCATCTTGCTCCATTTCTCTAAAAACCATGTTGTAATGGTGTTTTACTCTGTATTATTGACAATCATCAGCAATGTAAGTGTAGTTCAGGAAAAGGCTTGAATATGTGTCTTTATATTTGTCAGAGAACAAATTTACTGGTGGCTGTCACTGAGAATGCAGCCATGGCTGGGATCTTATATACCTGACAGTATTATTTTATTTTCTGAATTCATGGTCAATTTTCACATATCAGTTTGTTTCACTTCATGATAAGGTAAATATGCTCTTAAAGACAACTGTGTTTTATGAATCATTGTGGTCACTTTTTATAGACTCTAGACTGTAACTACTCTTAAATAATTGATTTACTGTACACGTTGGGCTGTGCATGTCTGGCTATAGCATATTTTGCATATGAAGGCTAACAAATTAAGTAATAAAATGACTGCTCAAAAAAACTACTGCTGGCTTAACTGAGGTTATAAAATAAATCACTACAAAAAGTACTTAAATTGAGTTTTAATGAGTTCTATCTTCCCCTACACTCATGGAAACATATGATTTCTAAGTTCATGGAAGAATATTCTTGTCTATGTCATCTTCTGGGTAGCCTAAATGTTCTTTCTGGGTAGCTAATAACTTACGTACATGCATAGAATGTTTGGTAGGGAGGCAGGCCAAAATGGATTGGAAAGCATTTGGGACTAGTGGGTCCTTTATGGAAGAGTCCTAGAGTCATCATGGGATTAAGGTAGAGGTGTCAACTAGCTGTCACAAAATGCTACTGTGAGTACTCCTATATTCCAGTGCTGTTTTTTCAGCCTCTAGAGCCATTGATCTGTAAACTTGCTGTGAAAAGCAGGGAGAAAGGAGTATTATTTCTAGATGAAGGTTCATCTGTCATGCGGGCTACAGAAACCACCTAGACAAAGAGATTGGATTTAGCCTTAGTTTGGGACTATTTCTCTGAAAGACTCAGAGAATATGAATTGAGAGATTTGTTAACTGACAGATAATTTAACCATTAAACAGGAGATTCCTAAAATATATAAATTCAATCTTAAACTAAGGTTGATTGAATTTTAATTAGCTGAAGCATAAATAATGTTCCTTTACTAATTAAAATATTCGGGGTGGCAGGGCTAAGACTGTTGACTAGAAGGAGCTCATGTTCACCACTCTCACAGAGAGAAAATTGAAGGGCTACTGAACATAGACTCTGCAGGCCTATTATTTGAGAAACCACAGCAGGATCCACCAGGGCAGCAAAGAAACACAGAGAACAGAGAGGAGCAAAGCTGAGCGTCAGCCTGTCTGGGCTCAGCACAGAGCCAGGAAAACCTCTTCAACACAGGAAAGGGTGAGTGAATGAGAGCCTTCAGGGGGATTCACACTTTCAGAGGCACCTGTGTAAGACTGGAATGGGAGAACCACCCTGGCCCTCCCACGCACCCACCCCCACCATGATTCTAGACTGAGGCAGAGAGACACCTGGACATTTTGTGGGGGCAACTCCTGAGTCCAGTGGGACTTCCACAAGCCTTGGGCCCTGGAGCAGACCAGCAGTGGTGCCACATCTCCAACAGAGGCCACAGGTGCAGTGCCACGTTGCTCCACCACTGCTCAGGGCCAGGGCTCAGCACCAGCTTTTAGCCCAGCAGTGCTGCTTTGGCCTGAACTCATCTGGCTACCCTTCCCATCTCTGCCACTGATATCCAGCTGGGTAATGCTTGCTGGGGCCTTCAGTTCAGTGGTCCCACTTTTGTGTGAACTCAGCTGGAAGGAGCAGCTTTCTCTTTTCACAGGCAACACCCTAATGGCAGAGCATGAGACCCCACCCACTCTGCCCTGGTAGGAGTGGGCAGCACTTTCTAAAGCTTCTGGCCCAAAAGCCTTGCTTTTGTGTGAGCTTAGCTGGAGGGCATAGCTCCTGTGGTCACAAGAAATACCCCAACGGCATAGCATGAGAGCTCACCCTCCCCTGCCATTGGTAGCCAGGTGGACAACAACTGCTAGAACCTCCAGCCCAGTGGTCCCAATTTTATGTGAACTCAGCTGGATGGCCAGTTTCCTGTTATCACAGGAAACACCCCAATGGCAGAGCAAATGACCCAACCCATGCCTGCCACTAGTAGCCAGTGGGGGTGACAGCTGTTAGAGCCTCCAGCGTAGCAGCCTTGCTTTTGCATAAACCCAGCTGGAGGGTGCAGCTTACTGTTGTAGTGGAAAACACTTGGATGGCAGAGCCCGAGACCCCACCTGCCTCTGCCACTGGTGGCCAGGTAGGCAAAGCCTTCTAGAGCTTCCAGAACAGTAGGCATGCTTTTTTAGTTAACTTAGTTGGAGGGTGCCACTTCCTGTTGTCACAGGAAACACTCAGACAGCAGAGCATGAGAGCCCACCTACCCCCACCACTGGTATCCAGGCAGGCAACACCTACTACAGCTTCTATCCCAGTGGCCTTGCTTCTGTGTGAGCTTGACTAGAGGGCACAGCTTTTTGATGTTCCAGGAAACACCTGGATGATAAAGAATGAGTCCCCAACTGCCCTGACTGCTGGTAGCCAGGTGGGCAACACTTCATCAAGCTTTTGACCCAATAGCCCCACTTCTGTGTGAACTCAGCTGAAGGGTGCAGCCTTCTCTTGTCCCAGTGTCAGGGTGCATAAACCTATGGAACCCCATTACTAATATCTAGGTGGACAACAGTTACTAGAGCATCCAATCCAACTGTTCTACATCTGCCTGAATGTGCCCAGGGGGCACAGCCCCCTATTGCCCTGGAAAAACCTAAACAGTAAGACTGGCAACCCCACCCACACTCATTCCCATAGCCAGATGGGCCACATCCATTGGAGTTTCCAACCCAGCAGTTTCACATCCAGCTGAACTTTGTGGGTGGACATAACCATATGTTGTCCCAGGAAGCAAAAAAATGGCAAGTTAGGGGCAACCTGACAAGGACACAACTTGGGCAACTTTATCCCCAGCCTGAGGGAGCCCTGTGGACCAGAACTCTCAAGAAAAGAAACATGGGCCCAAAGACAGTAATTGGAGGGGGTTCCTCCAAGACCCAGGAGCAGATTAGTATTGAAGCCAGTCAATGAAACCCACCTTATATCTTTATCAAAACTCCAAGGGCATCAAAGAAGAAAAAAATCAAAGCAATCTATCCAAAGGACAGAAACTTCAAAGACTGAAGAAACATTAACCCACACAAATGAGAAAGAAACAGCATAAGAACTCTGGCAACTCAAAAAGCCAGAGTGCATTCTTTCCTTCAAACAATCACAGTAATTCTCCAGCAAGGTTTTTTAATCAGGCTGAGATGGCTGAAATGACAGAAATAGAATTCAGAATATGGATAGGAATGAAGAGCAGTGAGATTCAGAACATTGAAACCCAATGCAAGGAAGCTAAGAATCACAATTAAATGATGCAGGGGCTGACAGATGAAATTGCCAATATAGAAATAATGTAGCTGACCTGATAGAACTGAAAAAGACACTACAAGAATTTCATAATGCAATTGCAAGTATTAACAGCAGAATATACCAAGCTGAGAGAAGAATTTCAGAACTTGAACACTGGCTTTCTGAAATATGATAGTCAGACAAGGATAAAGAAAAAGGAACAAAAATGAATGAACAAAACCCCAGAGAATTGTAGCATTATGTAAAGAGAACAAATCTATAACTCATTGAGGTCCTAGAAAAAGATGGGGAGAAAGGGGGCAACTTGGAAAACATATTTCAGAATGTTGTTCATGAGAACTTCCCCAACCTAGCTAGAGAGGTCAACATCCAAATTCAGGAAATGCAGAGAACCCCACAAGATACTTCACAAGAAGACCATCCCCAAGACATAATCATCTCCAAGGTTGAAATGAAAGAAAAATGTTAAAGGCAGCTAGAGAAAGAGGACAGGTCACCTAAAAGGAGAAACCCATGACTAACAGTGGACCTCTCAGCAGAAACCCTACAAGCCAGAAGAGATTGGGGGCCTATATTCAACATTCTTAAAGAAAAGAAATTCCAACCAATAATTTCATATCTGGCCAAACTAAACCTCATAAGCAAAGATGAAGTAAGATCCTTTACAGAGAAGCAAATTTGGAGGCAATTTGTTACTGCCAGGTCTGCCTTACAAGAGCTCCTGAAAGAAGTACTAAATATGGAAAGGAAAGATCACTACTGGCCACTACAACAACACACTTAAGTACACAGACTAGTGACACTGTAAAGCAACCACACAAGCAAGTATGCATGATAACCAGTTAAAAATACAATGACAAGATCAAATCCACACATATCAATAATAACCTTAAATGTAAATGGACTAAGTGTCTCAGTTAAAAGTCATAGAGTGGCAAATTGGATAAAGAAGCAAGACCCAATGGTATGCTGTCTTCAAGAGACCCATTTCACATGCAAAGACACCCATAGGCTCAAAGATAGAGGAATGAAGAGAAATCTATCAAGCAAATGGGAAACAGAAAAAAAGTAGGGGTGGCAATCCTAATATCAGACAAAACAGACTTTAAACCAACAAAGATAAAAAAGACAAGGGCATTACATAATGGTAAAGCATTCAATCCAACAGGAAGACCTAACTATCCTAAATCTCTTAGCATCCAATGCAGGTGCACCCAGATTTATAAAGCAAATTCTTAGAGACCTACAAAGAGACTTAGACTTACACACAATAATAGCGGGAGACCTCAACACCTTACTGACAGTATTAGACAGATGATTGAGCAGAAAGTTAACAAAGAGATTCCAGATCTGAATTCCACACTTGACCAAAAGGACCTAATAGACATCCATAAAACTTTCTACCCAAAGACAATAGAATATACATTTTTTTCATTGCCACAAGTACATACTCTAAAATCGACCATGAAGTTGGACATAAGACAATTCTCAGCAAACTCAAAAAAACCAAAATCTTATCAACCACCCTGTTGGACCATAGCACAATAAAAATAGAAATCAAGCCCAGAAAAATTACTCAAAACCATACAATTATTTGGAAATTAAACAACATGCTCCTGAATAACCCTTGGGTAAATAATGAGATTAAAGCAGAAATCAAGAATTTCTTTGAAACTAATGAGACCAAAGACACAACATACCAGAATCTCTGGGACACAGCTAAGGCAGTGTTAAGAGAGAAATGTATAGCACTAAACAACCACATCAAAAAGTTAGAAAGGTCTCACATTAACAACCTAACATCACAACTAGAAGAACTACAGAAGGAAGAGCAAACCAACCTCAAAGCTAGCAGAAGAGAAGACATAACCAAAATCAGAACTGAACTAAAGGAGATAGAGAAACAAAAAGCCTTATAAAAGATAAATGAGTCTAGAAGGTGGTTCTTGAAAAAATTAATAAGATAGACCACTAGCTAGACTAGTAAAGAAGAAAAAGAGATAATCCAAATAAAGATAATTAGAAATGACAAAGGAGATGTTACCAATCTTACACCACAGAAATACAAATAACCATCAGAGGCTACTATGAACACCTCTATTCAAACTAGAAAATCTAAAAGAAATGGATAAATTCCTGGACACATACGTCTTCCCAGGACTGAACAAAAAGAAATTGAATCCCTGAACAGACCAATAATGAACTCTGAAATTGAATAAATAATAAATATCCTACCAACTAAAAAAAGCCTAGGACCAGATGGATTCACATACAAATTCTACTAGATGTGCAAAAAGAGCTGGTGACATTCCTACTAAAGCTATTCAAAAAAATTGAGGATGAGGAATTCATTTCCAATTCATTCTATGAGACCAGCATCATACTGATACCAAAACCTAGTAGAGACACAAGAAAAAAGAAAACTTCAGGCTAATATCCCTGATGAACGTAGATGCAAAAATCTTCAACAAAATACTAGCAAACTAAATCCAGCATCACATCAAGAAGTTAATCCACTATAGGAAAATCAATAAATGTGATTCATCACATAAAAGAACTAAAGACAAAAACTCTATGATTATCTCAATAGATACAGAAAAGGCTTTTAATAAAATTCAGTATCTGTTCTCATTAAAACCCCTGAATTAACTAGGCACTGAAAGAACATACTTTAAAATAATAAGATCCATCTATGACAAACCCACAGCCAATATCATACTGAATGGGCAAAATCTGAAAACTTTCCTGTTGAAAACTGGCACAAGACAAGGATGCCAACTCTCACCACTACTATTCAACATAATATTGAAAGTTCTGTCCAAAGCAATCAGGCAAGACAAAGAAATAAACAACATTTAAATAAGAAGAGAGGAACTAAAACTATTCCTGTTTGCAGATGACATGATTTTATACCAAGAACCACCCCCCACCCCCAGTCTTAGCTCAAAAGCTCTTTGAGCTGATAAGAAACTTCAGCAAAGTTCTGGGATACAAAACCAATGGACAAATATCAGTAGCATTTCTATACATGAACACCCCCAAGCCAAGAGCCAAATCAGAAGTGAAATCTTAAAATTGCCACAAAGGAATAAAATACCCTAAAACTTAAAGTATAATAACAATAATAATAATAATAATAATAAAAAAACCTAGGACTACAGCTAGCCAGGGAGGTGAAAGATCCCTACAATAAGAATTACAAAACACTGCTCAAAGAAATGAAAGATGACATAGACAAATAGAAGAACATTCCTTACCCATGGATAGGAAAAATTAATATAATTAAAATGGCCATACTGTCCAAAGCAAAGCAGTGTACAAATTCAATGCTGTTCCCATCAAACTACCAAGGGCATTCTTCACAGAACTCAAAAAAAACTATTCTAAAATTAATTTGGAACCCAAAAAGAGCCCAAATAGGAAAGATAATCCTAAGTAAAAAGAACAAAGCTGGAAGTATCACATTGCCTGACTTCAAACTGTACTACAAAGCTGCAGTAATAAAAATAGCATGCTACTGGTACAAAAACATACACATAGATCAAAACTGGTACAAAAACATACATAGATCAATGGAACAGAATAGAGAACCCAGAAATAATGCCACACACCTACAACCATCTGATCTTCAGCAAAGCTGACAAAAACAAGCAATGGGGAAAGAACTCCCTATTAAATAAATGGTGCTGGTATAACTGCCAAGCTATATGCATGTAAAGGTTGTTTTCATACTGCTACAAACAAATACCCGAGACTGGGTAATTTTCTTTTTTTTTTGGAATGGAGTCTTCCTCTGTCACCCAGGCTGGAGTGCAGTGGTGCAATCTTGGCTCACTGCAGCCTCTGCCTCCTGGGTTCCAGTGATTCTCCTGCCTCAGCTTCCTGGGTAGCTGGGATTACAGGTGCATGCCACCACACCCACCTAATTTTTTTATTTTTAGTAGAGATAGGGTTTCACCATTTTGGCCAGGCTGTTCTCAAACTCCTGACCTCAGGTGATCCGCCTGCCTCGGCCTCCCAAAGTGCTGGGATTACAGGCATGAGCCCAGCTGAGACTGGGTAATTTTTTAAGGAAGGAGGTTTAATTGACTCACAGTTCCACATGGCTGGTAGGAGAGGTCCTCAGGAAACTTACAATCATGGTGGAAGGTGAAGGAGAAGCAAGGACCTTTCTCACATGGTGGCAGAAAAGAAAAATGCCAGGAAGGGAAATGCCAGACACTTATAAAACCATCAGATCTCATGAGAACTCAATCAGTATCATAAAGACAGTATTGGGGAAACTGACCCCATGATCCAATCACCTCCCTCCCTTGATACGTGGGGATTACAGGTTTCTCCCTTGACACGTGAGGATTGCAATTCGATATGGGATGATGAGTGGGGACAGAGAGCCAAACCTTATCAATGTGGAAGATTGAAACTGGACGCCTTCCTTATACCATATACAAAAATCATCTCAATATGAATTAAGGACCTAAATATAATACTCAAAACTATAAAACCCCTGTAATATAACCTAGGAAATACCATTCTGGACATAGGAACTGGCAAAGATTTCATAATGAAAATGCCAAAAGTAATTTCAACTAAAGCAAAAATTGAGAAATTGAACTTAATTAAACTCTAGAGTTCTGCACAGCAAAAGAAACTGTCAACAGAGTCAACATGCAGCCTACAGAACGAGAGAAAATATTTGTAAATTATACATCTGACAAAGGTCTAATTTTCAGAATCTATAAGGAACTGAAATGTTCAAGCAAAAAACAAGCAAACCTATTAAAAAGTGGGCAAAGGACATGAACAGACACCATTCAAAAGAAGACATACATGCGGCCAAGAATGATATGAAAAAATGCTCAATATCCCTAAACATTAAAGAAATGCAAATCAAAACCACAATGAGATACCATCTCACACACAGTTTGAATGGCTATTATTAAAAAGACAAAAATAACAGATTCTGGTGAGGTTGCAGAGAAAAAGGAATGTTTATACATTGCTGGTGTATAAGCTTTCTGCCACAGTGCTTTCTACCATTGTAGAAATGGTAGAAAGGAGGATAAAGAGATTTGGGAAAAAAAACCTGTTGGGTACTATGTTTAGTACCCAGGTGATGAAATAGTTTGTACACCAAACCCCTGAGTCAGTAGTTTACCTATATAACAAACCAGCAGATGTACCCCTGACTAAAATAAAAGTTAAAATATTTAAAAAGACACATTGTTAATTGAACACACATGTACAAATTGGGAAATATTTACAGTCTTCTACCATTTTTTCTGAAAAAGGTATAGAGTGAATGTATAAAAACACATATATGTAGGCATTTGCTAATATGTTTGTGAAAAGATACACAGGTGACTGATCACATTGTCTGCTTCCAGAAGGGGAAAATGGGTGGCTGGACAGAGAGGTGGAGAAGTCTGTGCACCAAATACTCATTCTGTTTTTTGATTCTTGAACCATATGAGTGCATTAACTATTCAAAAATTTTTTTACAAATATTGTTTATACATTACAATCATAATTTCAAATCTTATTTGAAATTGAATAATATGTTGTCTCTGTGGACTAAAATAATTTATAAATAGTTAATAAAAATGGAATAACTCTTTCAATGGCTTAGTAATAAAAGGTTTAGTATCTGCTTTAATTATTGATTGATATTTAGTGGTTTATAAGTTATAAATCCATAAATAACCTATAAAATATTAATTAAAATCTACAGTAAAACTCTAAATTGTAATGGTAATAATTTTTGCTTATATAAATTTATGGAGTATAAGTGTAATTTTGTTACATGAATAGATTGTGTAGTGGTGAAGTCAGGGCTTTTAGAGTGTCCATTATCCAAATAATGTACATTGTACCAATTAAGTAATTTCCCATCCTTCATTGCCTCAAACCCCCTTATCACTGAGTCTCCATTGTCTTATCATTCCACATTCTACATTCACATATACACGTTATTTACCTCCCATTATAAGTGAGAATATGTGATTGTTGTCTTTCTGTGTTTGAGTGGTTTCACTTAAGATAATGGCTTTCAGTTCCATTCATGTTACTGACAAAGACATTATTTCATTATTTTTAAAGGCTGAATAGTATTCCATTGTGTATATATACCACATTTTCTTTACCCAGTCATCCATTGATGGATATTAAGGTTGATTCCATGTCTTTGCTATTGTGAATAGTGCTGTTATAAATATATAATATATATTATATATTTATGCTGCTATCTTTTAAATATAATTATTTCTTTTCCTTTGGGTAAATGCCCAGTAGTGGGATTGCTGGATTGATTGGTAGTCCTATTTTTAGTTCTTTGAGAATCTCTATATTGTTTTTCATAGAGGCTGTACTAATTTACATTCCCACCAACAGTGTATTGGCATTTTCTTTCTTCAAATCCTCCAACATGTTATTTTTTTTGTCATTTTTAATGAGCCATTCTAAGTCCTATAAGATGATACCTCGTTGTGGTTTTAGTTTGCATTTTTCTAATAATAAGTGATGTTGAACATTTTTTCATATGGTTGTTGGTTATTTGTATGTCTTCTTTTGAAAAATATCTATTCATGCCCTTTTAAAACTTTTTAATGGGGTTGTTTTTATTTTGTTGAGTTCCTTGTAAATTATGGATATCTGTCCCCTGTTGGATGCATAGTTTGCAAATATTTTATGTCATTCTGTATGTTGTCTCTTAACTCTGTTTATTGTTTCCTTTGCTGTGCAGAATATTTTCAGTTTAAGTTTCATTTACTTATTTTTGTTTTTGTTGCTTGTGCTTCTGAGGTCTTATTCATAATTTTTTTGCCTAGACCAATGTCCAAAAGACTTTTTACTAAGTTTTCTTCTAGTATTTTTATAGTTTCAGGTCTTACATTTGGGTCTTTAATCCATCTCGAGTTGACTTTTGTACATAGTGAGAAATAGGGGTCCAGTTTTATTATTCTGCATATGGCAATCGAATTTTCCCAGCACCTATTGAAAAGGGTGTCCTTTCCTCAGTGTATGTTCTTTTCAACTTTGTGAAAGATCAGTTAGCTGTATTCATGTGACTTTATTTCTTGGTTTTCTATTCTGTTCAACTGATCTATGCATCTATTTTTATACCAGCATGATGCTGTTATAATTACTCTAGCCTTGAAGTGCAATTTGAGGTCAGGCAATGGAATGCCTGTAGCTATTTTTTTTCTTTTTTCCTTAGGATTGCTTTGGCTATTTGAGTTCTTTTTTGGTTCCATATGAATTTCAGGATTGTTTTTCCTAATTCTGTGATAAATGATATTGGTTTTTATAGAGATTGCATTGAATCTGTAGATTTCCTTAGGCAGTATGTTCATTTTTACAATAGTAATTCTTCTGATCCATGAAAACGAATGTTTTTTCCACTTTTTTTCATCTATAATTTCTTTTATCAGTGTTTTGTAGTTTTTTTTTTTGTAGAGCTCTTTCAACTCCCTGATTAAATATATTCCTAGGTTTTTTTTTTTGTAGCTTTAGTAAGGGGGAGTGCCTCCTTGATTTTTTTCGCAGGTTGATCATTATTAGTGTATAGAAATGCTACTGATTTTTGCACATTGATTTTGCATCCTGAAACTTCACTGAAGTGACATGTCAAATCTAAGAGTTTTTTTTTTTTTGGCAGAGTCTTTAGTGTTTTCTAAATAGAAAATAATCTCATCAATGCTTTTTATGCATTTATTGAGATTATCATCTGGTTTATGTCCTTTATTCTGTTCATGTGTTGTATTACATTTATTGATATGTGTATGTTGAACCAACCTTGCATTCCTGGGAAGAAATACACTTGATTATGGTGTATTATCTTTGTGAGGTGCTGTTGGATTCAGTTTGGTAGTATTTTATTGATAATTTATGCACCTATGTTTATTAGTGATATTGGCATGCAGTTTTATTCTTTCATGTATGTTCTTGCCTGGTTTTGGTATCATAGTGATACCGGCTTTGGAGAATTCGTTTCTCCTCAGTGTTTTGAAATAGTTTTTGGAGGATTGTTATTAGCTTTCCTTTTATTTTACTTTTTTAGAATTCAGCTGTTAACTCATCTGGTCTGGCATTTTCTTCGTTGGGAGGTTTTTTAACTACTGATTCAATGTCACTACTCATTATTGAACTGTTCACCTTTTCTATCTCTTCTTGGTTCAATCTTGGAAGATTATATGTTTCCAGGAATTAATCCATTTCCTCTAGGCTTTTTAGTTTGTGAGCATATACTTTTTCATAATAGCCTGTGATGATCTTTTTTATTACTGTGGTATTAATTGTAATGTCTCTTTTTTGTAACTGATCTTATTTATTTGAATCTTCTTTCTTCTTTTCTTGGTTAGTCTAGCTAGCAGTTTATCAATTTTGTTTATTTATTTATTTTGAGAAAACATCTCGCTCTGTCACCCAGGCTAGAGTGAAGTAGCATAATCATGGCTTACTGTAGCCTTAACCTCCCAGGCTCAAGCAATCTTTCTGCCTCAGTCTCCCATGTAAATGGGACTACAGGTCCTACCACACCTGGCTAATTTTTATTTTTATTTTTTGTAGAGATGGTAGTCTCACTTTGTTGCTCAGGCTTATCTTGAACTCCTGAGCTAAGTAATCCTTCCATTTTGGCCTCTGAAATTGCTGGAATTACAGGCATGAGTTACTGTGCTTGGCCTGTTTATCTTTTTGAAGAACCAACTTTTTGTTTTGTTGATCCTTTGTATTGTTTTTTTCATCTCTATTTCATTTAGTTCTGTTGTGATGTTTGTTATATTTTTCTTCTGCTAACTTTAGGTTAGGTTTGTTCTTGCTTTTCTGGCTCCTTGAGGTGCAATATTGAGTTGTTCATTTATAATTTTTCCTCTTTTTTCATGTAGGCATTTAATGCTATAAACTTCCATCTTACCACTGCTTTTGCCATATCTCATAGGTTTTGGGATGTTCTGTTTCCATTTTCGTTTGCTTTAAAAAATGTTTTCAATTTCTTTCTTAATTTCTTCATTGATCCAATGATCATTCAGGAGCATGTGGTTTAATTTCCATGTATTTGTATAGTTTGCAGAGTTTCTCTTGGTATTGATTTCTACTTTTATTTCACTGTGGTCTGAGATCATATTTGATATAATTTTGATTTTAAAAAATGTGTTGAGATTTGTTTTGTAGCATAACATATGGTCTATCATGGAGAATGTTATATTGATGAGAATAATGCATATTCTGTAGTTGTTGGGTAGAAAGTTCTGTAAATGTCTGTTAGGTTTATTTGATTTAAAGTTGATTGTCCATCTAGATGATCTGTCCCATGCTGTGAGTAGGGAATCAAAGTCTCCCACTATTATTGTACTGCTGTCTATCTCTTCCTTTAGGTCCAATAATATTTGCTTTATGAATCTGGATGTTCCAGTGTTGGGTGCATATATATTTAAAATTCTTATAGCCCCTTGCTGAATTGACACTTTTATCATTATATAATGATCTTCTTTTACTATTTTTACTGTTTTTGATTTAAAGCATGTTTTATCTGATATGAGTGTTGTTACTCCTGCTTGCTTTTGGCTTCTGTTTGCATAGAATAATTTTTCCATCTCTTTACTTTCAATCTATGTGTTTTTACAGATAAGGAGAGATTTTGTGAGCAGCATATGATTGGATCACATTTTAAACATTTATTCTGCCAATCTCTCTCTATATATTTTTGTATTAATGTTTTCTCTCTTTTTCAAAAAATTTTTGTAGGTACATGATAGGTGTATACATTTATGGGATTCATTAAAAATTTCATAAGACATGCAACAAACAATAATCACATTGTGAAAAATGGGGTATCCATCTCATTAAACATTTATCTTTTCTGTTAGAAATGATCTAATTATACTCTCTTAGTTATTTTAAAAGGTACAATTAAATTATTATTAGCTATTGTCACCCCTTTGAGCTCCAAAATACTAGGTCTTATTCATTCTTTCTAACTATATATTTTTGTACCCATTAGCCATTCCCACTTCCCCCTGCTCCCCACCCCCCACTAAGATTTCCAGCTCCCGGTAAACATTCTTCTACTTTTTTGTGTCCATGAATTGAATTGTTTTCATTTTCAGCAACCACAAATAAATGAGAACATGCAAAGTTAGTATTTCTATGTATAACATATTTCACTTAACATAATGACTTCCAGTTCCATCCATGTTGTGGCAAATGACAGGATCTCATTTTTTATGGCTGCATAGTACTCCATTGTATATATATACGACATTTTTAAATCCAGTCATCTGTTGATGGACATTTAGTTTGCTTCCAAACTTGGCTATTGTGAACAGTACTGCAACAAACATGGGAGTGCAGATATCTCTTCAATATACCAATTTTCTTTCTTTTGGGTATATACCCAGCAGTAAGAATTCAGGATCACATGGTAGCTAAATTTTTAGTTTCTTGAGGAACCTCCAAATGGTTTTCCATAGTGGTTATACTAATTTACATTCCCCCCAAGAATGTATGAGTGTTACCTTTTCTTCACATCCTCTCCAGCATTTTTTAATGTCTGTCTTTTGGATAAAAGCCATTTTAACTGGGGTGAGATGATATCTCATTTTAGTTTTGATTTTCATTTCTCTGATGATGAATGATGTTGAGCACCTTTTCATAGGCTGATTTGCCATTTGTATGTCTTCTTTTGAGAAATGTCTATTCAAATCATTTGCCCATTTTAAAATTGGATTATTAGATTTTTTTTCCTATACAGTTGTTTGAGTTTCTTATATATTCTGGTTATTAATCCCTTGTCAGATGGGTAATTTGCAAATATTTTCTCCCATTCTGTGGGTTGTCTCTTCACTATATTGTTTTCTTTGTGGTGCAGGAGCTTTTAAATTGATTTGTCTGTGCTTGTGGGGTATTATTTAGAAAATTTTTGCCCAGACCAATGTCCTGGAGAGTTTCCCTAATGTTTTCATATAGTAGTTTCATGGTTTGAACTCTTAGATTTAAATCTTCCATCCATTTTGATTTGATTTTTGTATATGGTGTGAGATAGGGGTCACGTTTCATTCTTCTGCATGTGGATATCCATTTTTCCAAGCACAATTTGTTGAAGAAACTGTCTTTTCCCCAGTGTATTTTCTTGGAAACTTTGGCAAAAATGAGTTTATTGTATTTATGTGGATTTGCTTTTGAGTTCTTTATTCTGTTTCATTGGTCTATGTGTCTGTTTTTATGCCAGTACCATGCTGTTTTGGTTACTATAGCTCTGTAGTATAATTTGAAGTGAGGTAATGTGATTGCTCCAGTTTTTTTCTTTCTGCTAGGAATAACTTTGGCTATTCTGGGTCTTTTGTGGTTCTATATAAATGTTAGGATCTTCTTTTCTATTTCTGTGAAGAATGTCTTTGGTTTTTTGGTAGGATTTGCATTGAATATGTAGACTGCTTTGGGTAGTGTGGACATTTTGACAATGTTGATTCTTCCAATCCATGAACATGGAACATTTTTCACTTACATATGTTTGTTTAGTTTCCAAAATTCATCTTGTTATTCATTTGTAGATTTATTACATTGTGGCCAGAGAAGATACTTGAAATTATTTCGAGTTTTTTGAATGATTTAAGAATTGTTTTGAGACCTAACGTATGGCCTATCCTTGAGAACGATTTATGTGCTGAGGAGAAGAATGTTTATTTTCCAGCCTTTGGATAAAATGTTCTGTAAATTTCTATTAGGTCCATATGTATTATAGCATCAATTAAATCTGATGTTTCTTTGTTGATATTTTTGTCTGGAAGAGCTGTCTAATGCTGAAATGAGGTGTTGAGTTGAAGTGTCCACCTATTATTGTATTGGACACTCTCTCTTTTTCTATAATAATATTTGCTTTATATATTTGGGTATTTTATGGTTGAGTATGTATGTATTTAAACTTGTTATATACTCTTGCTGAACTGACCCCTTTATCATTATATAGTGACCTTCTTTGTCTCTTCTTATAGTTTTTTTCTTGAAATATATTTTATGTGATATAAGTATAGTAACTCCTGCTCTTTCTTGGTATCCACTGGCATGGAATATATTTTTCCATCCCTTTATTTTTAGTCTAAGTTTGTCTTTATAGGTGAAGTGTGTTTCTTGTAGGCAACAGTCTATTGGGTCTTATTTTTTATTCATTCAGCCAGTCTATGTCTTTTGATGGGAGAGTTTAGTACATTTAAATTCAATGGTATTATTGATAAGTAAGGACTTACTCCTGCCATTTTGTTATTTCTTCACCTCCTTCTTTCCTTTCTTCCTGGCTTTCTTTTAGTGAAGGTGATTTTCTCTGGTGGTACAATTTAATTTCTTACTTTTGATTTTTTGTATCTGTTGTATATTTTTAAATTTGAGGTTACTATGAGACTTGCAATTACTATCCTGTAGCCCATTATTTTAAACTGATGACAATTTAACACCGATTTTATAAACAAACACTTAAAAAGAAAACAAAAGCTCTAAGCTTTAACTATCTTTCACTACTTTTTAACTTTTTGTTTTTTTCTCTTCATGTCTTTTTTTAACTATATATGTTTTGAACAGTTGTTGAAGCTACTATGTTTGATTGGTTCACCATTTAGTCTTTCTACTTAAGAAAAGTGTACACACCACAATTACTGTTATACTTTTCTGTTTTTTTTCCCGTGTGCTTATTATTGCAAGTAGTTTTCTACCTTCATGTGATATCTTCTTGCTCATTAACATCCTTTTCCTTCAGATTGAAGAAATCTTTTAGTATTTCTTATAGGATAGGTCTGGTGTTGATAAAATCTCTCAGCTTTTGTTTGTCTGGAAAATCTCTATTTCTTCATGCTTAAGAGATATCTTTGCTGGCTGTACTATTCTAGGGTAATGATTTTTTTTCTTCTAGCACTTTTAAATAATTCACACCACTCTCTCCTGACCTATAAGGTTTCCAGCAAAAAGTCTGTTACTAGACCTATTGGAGCTCCATTGTGTGTTGTTTGTTACTTATGTGTTGCTGCTTTTAGGAACCTTTTGTTGTCCTTGACCTTTGGGAGTTTGATTTAAGTGCCTTGAGGTAATCTTCTTTTGGTTAAACCTGCTTGGTATTCTATAACCTTCTTGTACATAAATGTTGCTATCGTTCTCTATGTTTGTGAAGTTACCTGATTTTTTTTTAATAAACTTTCTATCCATATCTCTTTCTCTACCTCCTCTTTAAGGCCAGTAACTCTTAGGTTTGCTTTTTAAAGGCTATTTTATAGATCCTGTAGGCATGCTTCATTTTTTAATGCTTTTTTCTTTGTCTCCTCTGTTTATTTTTGAATAGCCTGTATTCAAGCTTTCTAATTCTTTCTTCTGCTTGGTCATTTCTGCTGTTAAAAAACTCTGATGCAGTCTTCACTAAGCTAATTGCATTTTGAATTCTATCTGAAAGGTACCATATCTCTGTTTCTCCAGGATTGGTCCCAGGATTTCGACCTGTTTTTGTGCCTTATTTATTTCATTTGGTGAGGTCATATTTTCCTGGATGGTGTTGGTGCTAGTAGATGTTTTTCAGTGTCTGGGCACTGAAGAGTTAGGTATTTATTTTAATTTTTATTGTGTGAGCTTATTTGTAGCTGTTCTTCTTGTGAATGCTTTCTAGATATTAGAAAGAACTTATGTGTTATCGAAGATATATCTGCTTTAAGGAGCACTCGCAGCCTAGTAATGCTGTGTTTCTTGCGGAATCATAGAGGTACTGCCTTGTTGTTCTTGGATAAGATTTCAGAGAATTCTCTGGATTACCAGGCAGAGACTGTTGTTTCCTTCCCTTACTTTCTCCCAAACAGTCTCCCTCTCTGTTCTAAGTCATGTAATGTTTGGGGTGAAGTGACACAAAACCCCCTGTGGCCACCACCACTATGACTGCTCTGGGTCAGACCTGAAGCTAGCACAGCACTGGGTCTCACCCAAGACCTGCTGTAACCACTCCCTCATTATTGCCTATGTTCACTTGATGCCCTGGGGCTCTAAAATCAGCAGGTAGCAAAGCCAGCCAGGCCTATGTCTTTACCTTCAGGTTGGAGAGGACCCCCAGGCCCTGGGTGGGTCCAGGAGTGCCATCTGGGAGGGAGTCAGGGACTAGTGTAAAAATCCTTAGCAGTTTACATGGTATTTTACTGTGTAGTGGCTGAACTGGCACTCAAACTACAAGTTGCAGTTCTTCTCACTCTTCTCTCACCTTTCCAAAGGCAGAGAAGTTACACCCTGTGACTACCACCAACTCTTGTCACGAGGAATACTACCAGACTACCACTGATGTTTCCTTAAGCCTCAAGGTCTCTTGGTCAGCTTGTGGTGAATGCTGCCTTACCTAGGACTCACCCTTCGGGGCAGTGGATTCCCGTCTGGCCCAGGGCAAGTCCAGAAATGCCATCCAAGACTCATGTCCTGAAAATGGGGATCCCTAAGAGCCTGCTTGGTGCTTTACCACACCCTGTGGTATTGTTGGTAACTAATGTGCAAGACTAAGTTCCCTTAACTTTTCCCTCTGCTTTTCTCAAGCAGGAGGAGTTTTGTCCCATAGCCACTACAGCTGGTAATGTGCTGAGTCTCACCTGAAGCCAACAAGTCTCAGAGGCTCACACAAGGCCCTGGATGTAGCACCTTGGTATTGCTGCTGATTATTCAGGGCCCCAGAAATCTTCAGTTAGCAGGTGATAAATGCTGGCAGGACTGAGTTTTTTCCTTCAAGGCACCAGGTTCTCTTCTGGTTCAGGGTGTGTCTAGAAATGTCATCTGGGAGCTAGGGCCTGGAACGATGGTCTCATGACTCTGACCAGAGCCCTATCCTGCTGTGGCTGAGCTGGTATCCAAGATACAAAAGAAAGTCATCCCCACTTTTCTGTCTCTTTTCCTTAAGCGGAAAGAGGGGATATTTTCTTGAGCTGGGAGCTGTGCAGCCTGGGGTTAGGGAAGGGGTGATGCCAGCACACCGTTGGCTGCTCCAGCCGGTCTTTCGGTATGTCATGTGCCCTCCCAGTCCACTGTTTCTGGGCCTAGTTCAGGCCTAGGACTCACCTAAGAGTTGCAGTCCTTGTGGCCTAGATTGCCTTTCAGGTTTACTTAGGGAACAAGTAAACTTTGTTTACTTTGTTTTGGCCCTCGGTGGCGAGGTTTTCAGGCATAACTCAAGTTTGGACCATTGGGATAAGGGATTTTCCTTTGCCTAGGGCTGGTTTAAATGCCTCCTCTGTGGGTGGGCATCAGCTGAGCTGGATCTGCTTTTTCTTTCTGCTCTAACAGGAGGGCACCGAGTTCAATGCCTCACAATTACTGTGTTCTCCCTCCCCCAGTGCCCAGAGATGCTTTCAGCACCTCTGGGGTGGGGATGGGGTGGTGTCAGCAATTCAGGTTTGTTTTTTCTATTTCTTCAGTGCCCCTTCCAGCAATATGACGTTTAAACAAGGTCCTATGAGTGCTTATCTGATTTTTGGTTCTTATGCAGGTGTTTTTTTTTTTTTTTTTTTCTGTGTGGTGTCCTTCTGGGCGGCACGATTGATGGAGCTGTCTATTCTGTCATCTTGCTCTGTCTCTCTAATTTTACTTACTTTTCAAGAACCAGTTCTTTTAAAAATATCTTTTCAACTTTTATTTTAAGTTCAGGGGGTACATGTGCAGGCTGTTACATGGCTATATTTTGTGACACTGAGGTTTGGGTTAAAAATGATCCTGTCACCCACGAAGTGAGCATAGGATGCAATAGGTAGTTTCTTAGCCCTTTTTCTGCTTTCTCTTCTTCCATTAGTAGTCCCTGGTGTATATTGCTGCCATCTTTATGTCCATATGTACCCAATGTTTAGCTCCCACTTATAAGTGAGAGCATGTGATATTTGGTTTTCCATTCCTCTGTTAATTTGGTTAGGATTATGGCCTTCAGCTGCATCTATGTTGCTTCAAAGGACACAATTTTATCCTTTTATATGGCCACATAGTATTCCGTGGTGTATATATACGCCACATTTTCTTTATCCAACTTACTATTGATGGGCCCCTAGGTTAATTCCAGGTATTTGCTATTGTGAATAGTGCTGCAATGAACATATGAAGACATGTGTCTTGTTTAGAGAACAATTTATTTTTCTTTGGGTGTCTACCCAGTAATGGGATTACTGTGTCAAATGGTAATTCTGTTTAATATTCATTGAGAAATCTCTAAACTGCTCCCTACACTGGTTGAACTAATTCACATTCCCACCAACAGTTTATGAGTTTACAAGCATTCCCTTTTCTTTGCAGCCTCACCAGCATCTGTTATTTTTTTTAAATTTTATTATTATTATACTTTAAGTTTTGGGGTACATGTGCACAATGTGCAGGTTAGTTACATATGTATACATGTGCCATGCTGGTGTGCTGCACCCATTAACTCGTCATTTAGCATTAGGTATATCTCCTAAAGCTATCCCTCCCCCCTTCCCCCACCCCACAACAGTCCCCAGAGTGTGATGTTCCCCTTCCTGTGTCCATGAGATCTCATTGTTCAATTCCCACCTATGAGTGAGAATATGCGGTGTTTGGTTTTTTGTTCTTGCAATAGTTTACTGAGAATGATGATTTCCAATTTCATCCATGTCCCTACAAAGGACATGAACTCATCATTTTTTATGGCTGCATAGTATTCCATGGTGTATATGTGCCACATTTTCTTAATCCAGTCTATCATTGTTGGACATTTGTGTTGGTTCCAAGTCTTTGCTATTGTGAATAGTGCCGCAATAAACATACGTGTGCATGTGTCTTTATAGCAGCATGATTTATAGTCCTTTGAGTATATACCCAGTAATGGGATGGCTGGGTCAAATGGTATTTCTAGTTCTAGATCCCTGAGGAATTGCCACACTGACTTCTACAAGGGCTGAACTAGTTTACAGTCCCACCAACAGTGTAAAAGTGTTCCTATTTCTCCACATCCTCTCCAGCACCTGCTGTTTCCTGACTTTTTAATGATTGCCATTCTAACTGGTGTGAGATGCTATCTCATTGTGGTTTTGATTTGCATTTCTCTGATGGCCAGTGATGGTGAGCATTTTTTCATGTGTTTTTTGGCTGCATAAATGTCTTCTTTTGAGAAGTATCTGTTCATGTCCTTCACCCACTTTTTGATGGGGTTGTTTTTTTCTTGTAAATTTGTTTGAGTTCATTGTAGATTCTGGATATTAGCCCTTTGTCAGATGGATAGATTGCAAAAATTTTCTCCCATTTTTAGGTTGCCTGTTCACTCTGATGGTAGTTTCTTTTGCTGTGCAGAAGCTCTTTAGTTTAATTAGATCCCATTTGTCAATTTTTGCTTTTGTTGCCATTGCTTTTGGTGTTTTAGACATGAAGTCCTTGCCCATGCCTATGTCCTGAATGGTAATGCCTAGGTTTTCTTCTAGGGCTTTTATGGTTTTAGGTCTAACATTTAAGTCTTTAATCCATCTTGAATTACTTTTTATATAAGGTGTAAGGAAGGGATGCAGTTTCAGCTTTCTACATATGGCTAGCCAGTTTCCCCAGCACCATTTATTAAATAGGGAATCCTTTCCCCATCGCTTGTTTTTCTCAGGTTTGTCAAAGATCAGATAGTTGTAGATATGTGGTGTTATTTCTGAGGGCTCCATTCTGTTCCATTGATCTATATCTCTGCTTTGGTACCAGTACCATGCTGTTTTGGTTACTGTAGCCTTGTAGTATAGTTTGAAGTCAGGTAGCGTGATGCCTCTAGCTTTGTTCTTTTGGCTTAGGATTGACTTGGTGATGCGGGCTCTTTTTTGGTTCCATATGAACTTTAAAGTAGTTTTTTCCAATTTTGTGAAGAAAGTCATTGGTGGCTTGATGGGGATCGCATTGAATCTATAAATTACCTTGGGCAGTATGGCCATTTTCATGATATTGATTCTTCCTACCCATGAGCATGGAATGTTCTTCCATTTGTTTGTATCCTCTTTTATTTCATTGAGCAGTGGTTTGTAGTTCTCCTTGAAGAGGTCCTTCACGTAGCTTGTAAGTTGGATTCCTAGGTATTTTATTCTCTTTCAAGCCATTGTGAATGGGAGTTCACTCATGATTTGGCTCTCTGTTTGTCTGTTATTGGTGTATAAGAATGCTTGTGATTTTTGCACATTGATTTTGTATCCTGAGATTTTGCTGAAGTTGCCTATCAGCTTAAGGAGATTTTGGGCTGAGACAATGGGGTTTTCTAGATATACAATCATGTCATCTGCAAACAGGGACAATTTGACTTCCTCTTTTCCTAATTGAATACCCTTTATTTCCTTCTCCTGCCTGATTGCCCTGGCCAGAACTTCCAACACTATGTTGAATAGGAGTGGTGAGAGACGGCATCCCTGTCTTGTGCCATTTTCAAAGAGAATGCTTCCAGTTTTTGCCCATTCAGTATGACATTGGCTGTGGGTTTGTCATAGATAGCTCTTATTATTTTGAGATACTTCCCATCAATACCTAATTTATTGAGAGTTTTTAGCATGAAGCATTGTTGAATTTTGTCAGAGACCTTTTCTGCATCTATTGAGATAGTCATATTTTTTTGTCCTTGGTTCTGTTTATATGCTAGATTATGTTGATTGATTTGCGTATGTTGAACCAGCCTTGCATCCCAGGGATGAAGCCCACTTGATCATGGTGAGTAAGCTTTTTGATGTGCTGCTGGATTCGGTTTGCCAGTATTTTGTTGAGGATTTTTGCATCGATGTTCATCAGGTATATTGGTCTAAAATTCTCTTGTTTTGTTGTGTCTCTGCCAGGCTTTGGTATCAGGATGATGCTGGCCTCATAAAATGAGTTAGGGAGGATTCCCTCTTTTTCTATTGATTGGAATAGTTTCAGAAGGAATGGTACCAGCTCCTCTTTGTACCTCTGGTAGAATTTGGCTGTGAATCCGTCTGGTCGTGGACTTTTTTTGGTTGGTAAGCTATTCATTTTTGCCTCAATTTCAGAGCCTGTTATTGATTTATTCAGAGATTCAACTTCTTCCTGGTGTAGTCTTGGGAGGGTGTATGTGTCGAGGAATTTATCAATTTTTTCTAGATTTTCTAGTTTATTTGCATAGAGGTGTTTATAGTATTCTCTGATGGTAGTTTGCATTTCTGTGGGATTGGTGGTGATATCCCCTTTATCATTTTTTATTGCGTCTATTTGATTCTTCTCCCTTTTCTTCTTTATTAGTGTTGCTAGTAGTCTATCAATTTTGTCGGTCTTTTCAAAAAACCAGCTCCTGGATTCATTGATTTTTTGAAGGGTTTTTTGTGTCTCTATTTCCTTCAGTTCTGCTCTGATCTTCATTATTTCTTGCCTTCTGCTAGCTTTTGAATGTGTTTGCTCTTGCTTCTCTAGTTCTTTTAATTGTGATGTTAGGGTGTCAATTTTAGATCTTTCCTGCTTTCTCTTGTGGGCATTTAGTGCTATAAATTTCCCTCCACACACTGCTTTGAATGTGTCCCAGAGATTCTGGTATGTTCTGTCTTTGTTCTCGTTGGTTTCAAAGAACATCTTTTTTCTGCCTTTGTAAATTTTTTTTATCCCCTTATTTTGAGCCTCTGTTTGTCTTTGCATGTAAGATAGGTCTCTTGAAGACACCATATTGATGGATCTTGACTCTGTGTACAGCTTACCCTTCTGTGTCTTTTAATTGGGGCATTTAGCCAATTTACATTTAAGGTTAATATGTTATGTGTGAATTTGATTCCATCATAATGGTTCTAGCTGGTTATTTTGCATGTATATATTTATGTATTTTTTTTTGAGAGGGATTTTTGCTGTTTTGCCCAGGCTGGAGTACAGTGGCATGATATCAGCTCGCTGCAACCTCTGCCTCCCAAGCTCAATCAATTCTTCTGCCTCAGCTTCCCATGTAATTGGGACTGCAGGCATGCACTACCACACCTGGCTAATTTTTTTGTATTTTTAGTAGAGACGGGGTTTCACCATGTTGGTCAGGCTGGTCTTGAACTCCTGACCTCACGTAATCTGCCCACCTCAGCCTCCCAAAGTGCTGGGATTACCAGTGTGAGCCACCACGCCCAGCCTTGCAGACTTGTTGATGTAATTGCTTCATAGTGTCATTGGTCTTTGTACTTCAGTGTGTTTTTGTAGTGGCTGGTAACAATTTTTCCTTTCTATATTTAGTGCTTCCTCCAGGAGTTCTTGCAAGGCAGGCTTAGTGGTGACAAACTCCCTTGGCATTTGCTTGTCTGAAAAAACAAATATTTCTCCTTTGCTTATGAAGCTCAGTTTGGCCAGGTAGGAAATTCTGGTATGGAAATTCTTTTCTTTAAGAATGTTGAATATTTGCCCCCAATCTCTTCTGGCTTGTAGGGTTTCTGCTAAGAGGTCCACTGTTAGTCTGATGGGCTTCTTTTTGTAGGTGACCTAGCCTTTCTCTCTGCCTGCCCTTAGCATTTTTCCTTCATTTTGACCTTGGAGAATCTGATGATTATGAGTCTTTGGATTGATCTTCTCTTGGAGCATCTTACTGGGGTTCTCTGGATTTCCTTGATTTGAATGTTAACCCCTCTAGCTAGGTTGGAGCTCTCCTGGATGTTATCCTGAAGTATGTTTTCCAACTTGATTTTGTTCTTTCTGTCTCTTTCAGGTACCCCAATCAGTCATAGATTCAGTCTTTTTACATAATCCATAGTTCTCAGATGTTTTATTGATTCTTTTTCATTCTGTTTTTTTTTTCTATTCTTGTTTGCCTGTCTTATTTCAGCAAGATAGTCTTCAAGCTCTGAAATTCTTTGTTTGGTCTATTTGGCTATTTATACTTGTATTTGCATTGTGAAGTTCTTGTGTTGTGTTTTTCACCTCCATCAGGTCATTAATGTTCCTTTCTAAACTGTTTATTCTGGTTAACAGCTTGTGTAGTGTTTTATCATGGTTCTTAGCTTCTTTGCATTGGGTTAGATCATGCTCCTTTACCTCAGGGAAGTTCATTATTAGTGGCCTTCTGAAGCCTACTTAAGTCAATTTATCCATCTCAGCCTCTGCCCAGTTCTGTGCCCTTGCTGGGGAGGTGTTGTGATCATTTGCAAGAGAAGATACACTCTGCCTTGTTGAGTTTTCAGTGTTTTTGCGTTGATTCTTTCTCATTTTCATAAGTTTATCTAGCTTCAATCTTTGAGGCTGCTGACTTTCAGATGGGTTTTTTGTGGGGACTTTTTTGTTGATGCTGTTGTTGTTATTGGTTTCTGTTTGTTTTTCTTTTAACAGTCAGGCCCCTCTTCCGTAGGGCTTCTGTGGTTTGCTAGGGGTCCACTCCAGACCCTATTCACCTGGGTCCCTCCTGCACCTGGAGGTGTCACCACTGGAGGCTGCAGATAGCAAAGATTGCAGCCTGCTCCTTCCTCTGGGAGCTCCATCTTAGAGGGGCACCAACCTGATGCCAGTGGGAACACTCCTATGTAAGCTGTCTGACAACCCCTGTTGAGTGGCCTCACCCAGTCAGGAGGCATGTGTTCAAGGTCCTGCTTAATGAAGCACTCTGGCTGTCCATTGGGGGAGGGGGTGCACTGTGCTGGGGAAAAATTCCACTCATTCAGACTGCCTGGATTCCTCAGTGCCAGCAGGGGAAAGACTAACTCTGCTGATCTGTGGAGATGGCGGCCACCCTCCCCTTCGGGGGTCCATTCCAGGGAGATCAGAATTCTGTTCATAATCCCCTCACTGGAGTTGCTGAAATTTCCACAGGGAGGCCCCACCTGGTGAAGAGGGATGGGTCAGGGTCCAGCCTAAAGAGGCAGTTTGGCCACGATCTGCCACAGCTGCTGTGCTGCATCGTGGAGAATTCCTCCTGGGTCCAAACTGCCCCATCTCCCTGGCTCTGGCAGGGGAAAAATGGCAGACTGGAGCTTTAGTGATGGCTGCTGCCTCTTCGCCTGGGAGTTCAGCCCTCTCAGGAAACAGGCAGCTGCAGTGATGGCTGCCGCCCCTCCGTTGAGGAGCTCAGTTGTCTTAGGCAGCAGGCAGCCACAGTGATGGTGGCCAACCCTTCCCATGGGAATTCAATAATCTTAGGCAGTCTCCAGCTGAATGGCTGCTGAGAATCTGCAGAGTTCTGTGCTTGGGACCCAAGACCCTGGTGGCATGGGCTCATGAGGGGGACCTCCTGATCCACGGGTTGCACAGATACATGGAAAAAAGACTGGTTTCCTGGGTGGGGTAGCACAATTGCTCACTGCCTCCCTTGGCTAGGGGTGGGAGCTCCCCTTGCCCCTTGTAGCTCCCAAGTGGGCTGTCGCACCACCCTGCTTTTCCTCATTCTCCATGGGTTGTGCCATCTGCCTAGTTAGTCCCAATGAGAGAACTTGAATACCTCAGTTGCTGGTGCAGGATTCACTTGCTCTTTTCATTCTTCTTAGTGGGAGCCTCTGACCACAGCGGTTTCTAGTTCGCCATCTTGGAAACTCCTGCCCCTTTTAATACCTGATAATTTCCCTTCCTCTGAAGTCTCCTTTTCAGAATTGATATATGTATGTTCTTTCTTTTGATTAGTGCTATCATGGTATATTTTCTCCATTATTTTAATTTTAATCTATCTCTGTCTTTATATTTAAAGTGAGTATTGTGTAGAAAACATAGAGTTGGTCTTTCAAGAAATTCACTCTCACAGTCTCTGTCTTTTAGTTTGTGTATTTAGACTACTATTCACATTTAAGGTGATTATCAATATAGTTGGATTAATAACTACTATATTTATAACTGTTGTCTATTCATTGCCCCAATTCTTTCTTTTCTTTTTTTTTTTTGATCTTTCACTCTTTTTTTCTCCTTTTCTGGTTTTGAGTTCCTGTCATTTTTTTTTTTCCAAGGCAGAAGAATTTTTCTTAGTACAGAACAAAATGAAAAGTCTCCCATGTCTACTTCTTTCCACACAGACACGGCAACCATCTGATTTCTCAATCCGTTCCCCACCTTTCCCCCCTTTCTACTCCACAAAACCACCACCGTCATCATGGCCCGTTCTCCATGAGCTGCTGAGCACACCTCCCAGACGGGGTGGTGGTCGGGCAGAGGGGCTCCTCACTTCCCAGTAGGGGTGGCCGGGCAGAGGCGCCCCTCACCTCCCGGACGGGGTGGCTGGCCGGGCGGGGGGCTGACCCCCCCACCTCCCTCCCGGACGGGGCGGCTGGCCGGGTGGGGGGCTGACCCCCCACCTTCCTCCCGGACAGGGCGGCTGGCCAGGCGGGGCGCTGATCCCCCCACCTCCCTCCTGGACGGGGCGGCTGGCCTGGCGGGGGGCTGACCCCCACCTCCCTCCCGGATGGGGTGGTTGCTGGGCGGAGACGCTCCTCACTTCCCAGACGGGGTGGCTGCCGGGCAGAGGGACTCCTCACTTCTCAGACAGGGTGGTTGTCGGGCAGAGGGTCTCCTCACTTCTCAGACGGGGCGGCTGGGCAGAGGCGCTCCTCACATCCCAGACGGGGTGGTGGGGCAGAGGCGCTCCCCACATCTCAGACGATGGGCGGCCGGGCAGAGATGCTCCTCACTTCCTAGATGGGATGGCGGCTGGGAAGAGGCGCTCCTCACTTCCTAGATGGGATGGCGGCCGGGCAGAGACGCTCCTCACTTTCCAGACTGGGCAGCCAGGCAGAGGGGCTCCTCACATCCCAGACAATGGGTGGCCGGGCAGAGACGCTCCTCACTTCCCAGACGGGGTGGTGGCCGGGCAGAGGCTGCAATCTCGGCACTTTGGGAGGCCAAGGCAGGCGGCTGGGAGGTGGAGGTTGTAGCAAGCAGAGACCATGCCACTGCACTCCAGCCTGGGCACCATTGAGCACTGAGTGAATGAGACTCCGTCTGCAATCCTGGCACCTTGGGAGGCCGAGGCTGGCGGATCACTCGCGGTTAGGAGCTGGAGACCAGCCCGGCCAACACAGCAACACCCTGTCTCCACCAAAAAAATACGAAAACCAGTCAGGCATGGAGGCGTGCGCCTGCAATTGCAGGCACTCGGCAGGCTGAGGCAGGAGAATCAGGCAGGGAGGTTGCAGCGAGCCGAGATGGCAGCAGTACAGTCCAGCCTCAGCTCGGCATCAGAGGGAGACCGTGGAAAGAGAGGGAGAGGGAGACCGTGGGGAGAGGGAGAGGGAGACGGAGAGTGAGAGCGAGTTCCTGTCATTTTTAAGAACAGGTTAAGTAGCCACTTGGCAGAAAGCCCTAGAGGGTAATCAAACAATGTATGGGAGTCCGAACTACACAATCTTTAGGGTCTCTTTCAATTCCCAGATTGTAAGATTCTTAATTAGTCAAATTATTCAACAGTTATATGGAGACACAGTCAAGGTGATTATAGTATCTACTTTTTTTTATAGTGTCTACTTTTAAAGTACCATAACCATATTTGCAATATTGAGGAATAGCTTAATAAACAAGACTTTGAGGTTGCAGTATTTCTCTATCCCAGAGTTGAGGCTTCCAATGCATTCATATTAGAAACTTCTATCTTTTGTCAATTTATGTTTTCAGGGATGGTTTGGAGCTGAGAGGAAAGGGTATGGGGTTTGGGCTACAGGGAAACTAGCTCGTCTTGCCCAAACTCACCAGAAAAGAATCTGTACCAGAAAACCAGTTGAATAATATATAGTAAAAAGTGAAATAACGAAGCAGATGATATTCTAATCAACTAGTCAATATTTTGTCTTTCTGGCAAGTAAGCAAAAAAATGGATATTCTAAAGTTTATTGATAAATAATGCACTTGACAAGAGAAAAGACTGTACAAACTAACCAGATCTCCTGTCATCCATTTGGGCACTCCCTTGAGTGCCCCTGTACATATATTGTCCTAATATCACCTCAACTGCCTCTTTCAAACATTCCATGGTGCTTCCTGGGATTTTATAATGATATGAACACTCACCTTAAGGGTCCCTAATTATTTTAGCCTTGAGAAAGGCCCAATTTCTCTGTTAATACACTAGCTTATCACTCCCTTGAATCAAGGAATTTTAGGCTTCTTCCAATATTCTGACAATATTAGAATATAGATTGTCAACAGGACCTTCCCAAAACAGGGGAAGAAAGGGTTCATTCAAGATGCCAGTTATGCTGAGTACTAAATATGGCATAGTGGGAAAAGACACAGAGTCAGAAATCAAGCCCTGCAGGACTATAGGATCTGATTTGCAATGATTTTATAATTAGACTTAAATTCAAAACCTGATATACATGAAAAGTTGTTGGTGCTGTTTTAGTGACAAAAACTCCTGTGGAGCGAATAAAGAGCTAAATCTTAGCTGAGCTACTATAACTTTTATCCAGTAAAAGGGAAAACTATTTGGAAGAGTAAAAGGGGATAAATTTTCTTGGTTTCTTGTCAGTTGTTTGAACTTTTTTTTAAAAGGGAAACTAGAATTAGGTAGTAATTTGAATTATTCTTTGCCAAGTTCCAGAAAGAATAATCTGGTTTTTAATGGGATGTAAAACATTATTTTTCATTCTTTAATTTTCATAACTGTCTGGGTCTTCAAGAGATCATTACACTTTCAAGTTAGGAAGGTGAAAAAACACCAAACCAAAAGCAGTTATGGGTATTCAGAAACGAATATGCTACTTTTTATTTACCCAGAGTGCAATGCAATGAGGCAAGGGCATAGTTTTACTTTGTTTTGCCATTTGGATAGCCAGTAAATAACTTTGTGCACCAAAAGGACAGTTTTCCATAAGGATAATTTAATTGGGTTAAAGTTCTAAGATAGTGCTAGTGACATGCAAAAGATTTCTTAGATCAAGTGACTAGCTATCAAGAGACACTGTAAGGGTCAGCTTCTTGGGGATACAAATTTAAATGTCATTTGAGCCAGTGTACCATGTAAATCTGTTTGATAAACTTTAAGTTATGCCTTTGTAATTTAGAAAAGAAATATATTTTTGTGATTTAGCAGAGTTACCATGGAGGGGATTATGTGAAGGGATTACATATAGTGCAGAGAAAAGGGAACTAATAAGCAGATGAATGAGGAGTTAGAAGTTGTCTTGTGATTTATCTGGAGTAACAGAGCTCTTGGTGGATCAAAGAAAATGTTTTGGATTTGGTTCTCAGAAACATTTTGCTATTTTAATATCAGGCAAAGCCAATCTAACCTGGGTTGTACATATGAGGTAGAATGTGATAAATGAGCTTCTTTTCCTACCTTCTGTGCAGTAGTGCTTACCAAAAAGAGCCCACAAATTTACATTGCTGAGATCTAATCTCACCTTTCAAGCTTCCAAATTTCTACCTTTGGAGTCACTAAAGTGTTAGTAAGAAGTAGATATTGAAATATATATATACATATATTTAATTATCTTAAAAGGACAATTAAAATGCAAAATTATGTCACTAAGGTGAAAGGCTAGGAGGTTATGACAACCAAGAAAACCAAAGTTTACAGTTAAGATGAGTACACAGAACTATTTATGTTTATTTTGTAGGTGAAAATGCAGAGTATTCTTTCAAGATTTGAAATAGTTTTTGATATACATAAACCATATTGGCTGAGGAAAATAAAAAACTAAGTATATAATGAGAGTTTAGATAGCTGATAATATTTAAAAGGACCATTTACAACCAAAAGAATGACTGTGAAGGCCATTAGGAATCACAAATGTGAAGCTCCTTCTAATGTCAATGTTCTAGGATATAATATATATAAATATATAATGTATATAATATATAAATATATAATGTATATAATATATAATATATAATATATATTATATATTATATATATTATATAATATATATAATATATTATATATTATATATAATATATATAATATATAATATATATGATATATTATATATAATATATATAATATATAATATATATGATATATTATATATAATATATATAATATATCAATATATAATGTATATTATATAAATATATATTATATATTTAATATAAATATATAAAATATATTCATGTAATATATATCGATATATTATATAGAATATATAAAATATATATATTCTATATAATATATAGAATATATATATTATATATCATATATATAGAATATATATTATATATATATAGAATATATATTATATATAATATATATAAATATGGAATATATATATTATATATAATATATATTCTATATAATATATATAAATATAGAATATATATTATATATAATATATATAAATATAGGATATATATTATATATCATATATATATAGAATATATATTATAAATAATATATATAAATATAGAACATATATTATATATAATATATATAAAATTATATATATTATATATATATATATTTTTTGAGACAGAGCTTTGCTCTGTCACCTAGGCTGGAGTGCAGTGGCACGATCTTGGCTCACTGCAACCTCTACTTCCTGGGTTCAAGCAATTCTCCTGCCTCAGCCTCCCTAGTAGCTGGAATTGCAGGTGCGTGCCACCACGCCTAGCTAATTTTTGTATTTTTAGTAGAGATGCGGTTTTCACCATGTTGGCCAGGCTGGTCTCGAACTCCTGACCTCGTGATCTGCCTGCCTTGGTCTCCCAAAATGGTGGAATTACAGGCATAAGCCACTGAGCCTGGCCAGGATATAATATTCTTAATGTGTTCTTCCAACTAAAATAATAGGCTTTAGGTCATGGTTCATGTGTTTATATAATTAAAAGATATAAGCATGTAGTTTAATTAAACCTAGTTTTTAAAATAAATGAATAAGTCATTTAAACATCATTAAAAAATAAACTTTAATTTTCTATATTTCTCTTTCTCTCTGTATTTGTATATCTTTTACTGTGGTAAGAGCACCTTACATGAAATATATCCTCTTAACAAACTTTTAAATATACAATATTGTATTGTTAACTGTAGGCATAATGTTGAAAAACAGATCTGTAGAACCTATTTGTCTCCCACAGCTGAAGCTTTTTGCCTGAAAATGGTCCCGCAGGATATTATAGCAAATTAAGTACATGGGTTGTGAAATCAGACTGCCTGGGTTTGAACCTTGGTTCTGGTGCTTACTAGCTGACTGACTGAGCAAGTTCCATGACCTCACCTCAGTTTTTAATTCAGCAAAGCAGGCATAATAATGGTACATACCTTGCAGGGCAGTTGTAAGCATAAAATTCATTGATATGGGTAAAACACTTAAAATAGAATATAGTATATAATTAGAGTTTATTAAATGTTAGATACTACCACTTAAATACATAATTTTCAACCTCAAGGAATTTATAATTCCACAAAGTGATAACTCCACTTTGGGAGACAATATTAACATGTGGAAAAATTGGTGAAAACATTAAGTACTATGCAGTGTGGTAGAGACTATAAGTACATAAGACATGAAAAAAAGCAAATTTATGATGGGCTTGCAAGTAATTGAAGGTTTTATGGTATGTTGCTGTGTGGGAGGAAGTGGGACTATGACTGGAAATGATAACATAGGCAAAAGCCTGGAAGAAATAAATAACCCACAAGATTCTTTGATGTGGAGTAGGATTTAACTATGGCTATTTTTGTTCAAATTCTTTCAAATCTGAGAATCCATGTAGTAAATATGACTCAGTAATTTTAAGTAACAGAACTACCTCTAAATACTTAAACATTATATCTTGTTATATGTTTTTAAAAACTTTAACATTCCTGATCTCATTTGAGTTTTACAAATGCCCTATAAAAAATGCAGGATAAGTATTATTATTACCATTTTACAAATAAGGAAGCTGAGGATTAGAGTTTATGTCATTTGCTTAAAGTTACATAACTGTAAGCAATAGAGACCAGGTTAGCATCCAGGTCTTCTGGATTCCAATCTAGTGCTCTTCTACCATACTATGCTGCTTGCTGGATAGCAGAAGGCCCAGTAAATGAGAAATGAGGATTGAATTTTGTGATAAATATTATGTTTGATCTTTGTCTCCAGCAAGGGAAAAATAGTATAGGGTAAGAGCATAGAAACGGCCAGGTCACAGGTATATTAAAAATAAATGGGCACAAGCTATTACTATGCCTTAGAGGTCCTTTCCATTTATGTTTTGTAATTTTTTTCCCCAAGGGACTACAACATTAGAAATGAAATAGAAATAATGTACACATGGCAGATTCAGATAGAAAATTTTCCCAAAGCTTTCTTTTTTCTTTATAGTTATTTATTTCTTCTGAGGTAAGTTACTTTTTAAAAAACAAACTTAAAGGACACACTACACTTCAGCAAAAGCTTGTCCACGCATATTATATTTCAGCCGTAGATGAGTTGTTGTGGCTGTTTTAAGATCAAAGCGTCCACTGTAATATAAAAGTCACTGTAAACATATCCATGATATTCCTGTCAACATACCAATAAAAAGTAATAAAGCAATAATAAAACTTATCGTGAACTTTCACCCATAATGCATATCATACAGCAAAATCTCTTACATATAGTTGTATACATATACATAAATGTATGCACTTCTTAAAAGAATTTGTAATGTGAACATTCACAATTTTCTTCATAAATCCTTTGTAGTTTATTTTGATCCCAGCAATTGGCATATAGAAAAGTAGATTCCTTTTCCTTTTCTCTTCTTCAGATAAGTTTTTAATTACTTCTATTTATATATAGGAGTGCCAGTTGTCTGGCTTCTTAAGGAAGAATTATATGTCATGGATGGAGAGAAATCTCTACAGGAACCTCACTGAGCAGCTAAAACTCCACTATTCAATTTTGGGAGCCTGAGGCAAAGGCAGAAGAAAACTGGAGACAAACTGGCTTTTGACCAGATTTCTCCTGTTGCCATATTGAACATTGTATGGTGCTTTTAGGACCCTTTAGCTGAATACTAGTCTGTTCTAGCACTTTTACATTCTCTTTTGGAAGAAATGGCCCTAATTTGCCTAGCGAATCAGTACTACAAAGAAGGGTGACAGTACGTTTTATGTAGCTCCTGAGTCATCTCCAGTTCTCATCTGATGGCATGCATGCAAAGGAATATGTTAGAATGATTCAGAACTATTTGCCAATTTTATATCTAGTTTTATATTTTATAACTTTTAGCTTGCATGTATTTTTATTGACTAATTTTATATATTTTATCGTTTGTAAAGCTTTTATTTGAAGAGGAAAACTTTAATATAAGACATATTTTATAGTGCAAAGATAAAAATATTCTCCAAATTCTGGTGAGTGGTCAAAATTATTTATAATTCAGTTCATAGTTGTGGACCGAATTTTTAGCACTTAAAATATCTATAAATATCTAATCATGTGGATGCATAAATGAGATAGAGTTGTAGGCCCAAATAGTTAAGTATTTGTAAAATATTAAGTAAAATTTTTATTTTTTTTGTAAATGATTTGACAAAATACTTATTTGGGAAACTATTTTCATTGGTTTGGACTGGAAATGGGTTTAAACTATACTTTACATATTTCTTCTCCTTTTTCTGGCAAAGAGGCCTTCTTTCTGGGTACATAAGTCACGCTGGACAAAGAATGCTTTCTGAATGTAGACAGCCTTTTCCTAAAGTTACCCCCAGAAAAGAAATATAGGAGAGGGTCAAAGCAACAATTGGATGCAGCCAGAGACAAGGTTATGACCACGGACTTCTGCATTCTAAGGACAGAATCACAGGGTTTAGTTTCATTGTGTAAAAAATGAAGGTGAATGGTACGTTGAATATGATATGGCATGAAACTGACTAAAAAGGCAGCGGTCACGACCATGATCATTCCTATAGCCTTTTTATGACTTGACAGATTTTTTTTCATTGATTTTTTTAGTAAGGTCAAAATGATCATTGTGTAACAGACAATTATAATAACAAAAGGGATGATAAAGCCAACAAACAATGACACATAATGCAAGACCAAAACATGATTTTTAGTTTGATTGTCTTGTGGGGGCTCAAAGCACTTGGTATTATTTTTCTCATCTTTTTGTGGTTTGGCCATTAGAAATGGAGAACTGGTCAAAATCACAAAAATCCAAATACCTACACACACAAACCTGGCTTTTTTCTGTGTAACCAAATTAATGTTCTGGACTGGAAAAACAATTGCAATGCACCGGAAAAAGCTCATGGCTGTCATAAAGAAGATGCTACAATAGAGGTTGACATACAAAGCATAGGTGCTGAGGCGGCACAAGAAGTCACCAAAGAGCCAAATGCCTTTGTGAACATAATAGACCACACGGAGAGGCAGTGTGCACACACAAAGTAGATCTGCTACTGCTAAATTAATCATGTATACTTGGAAGGCTGACTTCTTGTGATAGGTTTTTATGAGGACATAGAGCACAAAGCCATTGCCAAAGAAGCCTACAACAGAGATCATAGAGTACAAGGTGGAATACACTTGATTGCGGAAGTCATCAATAGTGTCATGGCATGTGGCAGAAGATACTGTCAGATTTCCTGTTTCATCCATGTTTCTCTACGAATGTCTGCTTTGTGCCTATAATAAATAAAAAAAATTGTCAATTTTAACTAGACCATAAATTACAGGAAGTACTAATGTTTTATTTCATAGTGTCACTATGTATACTTTTTGACCACAGCAGCAAGCAAGAGTAGTGAGGCATTGAGGAGGGATTCAGCTGTACCTTATCCTCCGGAGAAGAGTCCGTATCCTACAGGTATCCAGAAAACTTTTTTTTTGTCCTTTCCCACCCATGTTTTTCTGATGGACTTCCTCTAAATCTTCAAGACCTAGGTGAAACAGCCCTCCTGTATTTTAAATCATACTACTGTAGTACAATTCGGTAGGTTTTCCTTTCAAATGAACTTGTTTTTCTATTAGAGAAAAGCTTTAAGAAGCAGTTTCACATGTATGAATATATCTATATTTATACCTATTTATTGGAAAATCTCTGAATTGTTTTAGATAATAAAATCTGGATGAAAATCCTTGGCTCCCAAAAAGAGCCCACATCGCCAAATCAATCCTAAGCCAAAAGAACAAAGCTGGAGGCATCACGCTACCTGACTTCAAACTATACTACAAGGCTACAGTAACCAAAACAGCATGGTACTGGTACCAAAACACTGGTACCAAAACAGAGATATAGACCAATGGAACAGAACAGAGCCCTCAGAAATAATACCACACATCTACAACCATCTGATTTTTGACAAACCTGACAAAAGCAAGAAATGGGGAAAGGATTCCCTATTTAATAAATGGTGCTGGGAAAACTGGCTAGCCATATGTAGATAGCTGAAACTGGATCCCTTCCTTACACCTTATATAAAAAGTAATTCAAGATGGATTAAAGACTTAAATATTAGACCTAAAACCATAAAAACCCTAGAAGAAAACCTAGGCATTACCATTCAGGACATAGGCATGGGCAAGGACTTCATGTCTAAAACACCAAAAGCAATGACAACAAAAGCCAAAATTGACAAATGGGATCTAATTAACTAAAGAGCTTCTGCACAGCAAAAGAAACTACCATCAGAGTGAACAGGCAACCTACAGAATGGGAGAAAATTTTTGCAATCTACTCATCTGACAAAGGGCTAATATCCAGAATCTACAATGAACTCAAACAAATGTACAAGAAAAAAACAAACAACCCCATCAAAAAGTGGGCAAAGGATATGAACAGACAGTTCTCAAAAGAAGACATTTATGCAGCCAACAGACACATGAAAAAATGCTCATCATCACTGGCCATCAGAGAAATGCAAATCAAAACCACAATGAGATACCATCTCACACCAGTTAGAATGGCAATCATTAAAAAGTCAGGAAACAACAGGTGCTGGAGAGGATGTGGAGAAATAGGAACACTTTTGCACTGTTGGTGGGACTGTAAACTAGTTCAACCATTGTGGAAGACAGTGTGGCGATTCCTCAAGGATCTAGAACTAGAAATATCATTTGACCAAGCCATCCCATTACTGGGTATATACCCAAAGGATTATAAATCATGCTGCTATAAAGACACATGCACATGTATGTTTATTGCGGCACTATTCACAATAGCAAAGACTTGGAACCAAACCAAATGTCCAACAATGATAGACTGGATTAAGAAAATGTGGCATATATATACCATGGAATACTATGCAGCCATAAAAAATGATGAGTTCATGTCCTTTGTAGGGACGTGGATGAAACTGGAAATCATCATTCTCAGTAAACTATTGCAACTGGAACAAAAACCAAACACCGCATGTTCTCACTCATAGGTGGGAATTGAACAATGAGAACACATGGACACAGGAAGGGAAACATCACACACCGGGGCCTGTCATGGGGTGAGGGGAGGGGGGAGGGATAGCATTAGGAGATACACCTAAGGTAAATGATGAGTTAATGGGTGCAGCACACCAACATGGCACATGTATACATATGTAACAAACTTGCACGTTGTGCACATGTACCCTAGAACTTAAAGTATAATAATAATAATAAAAAAAGAAAATGCTTGGTTCCCTCGAGAAGAAGGCTTCCTTGGTAATATCTGTTGAGTGCCACCCATACCTATGGAAAATAATCTAATTTGCTGTTAATGAAACTCCCTCCCCTGGGGGAGAGTATTAATCTAGAACATGGTTGACTCTACCTATAACTGCAGAACTCCATGGTAAGAGAAACCTTAGAAGCCATATAGTTATTTAATGATGAGAAAAATGTTTTAGAGTGATAAAATACATTTCTAAAATCTGCACCATTATTTAAGGCTCTGAAGAAATATGTAGTACAAGTAGTTGGAATATACTTGTTTGGTGAGAAAAACGTTGTAGCCATTCATTCTTGTTCTCTTTCTAGACTTCCTAGACTTTACTGTTTAGCAATATACAGTTATTTCTCTTATAGGAAGGATTTCTCTTATAGTTGATACTTACTCTAGTCTATTTCAGCTCTGTCACTGAGGGCAGTCAATAAGTTCTGATCAGAGAAGGCTTGAGGTGAGATACTGTAGTGTAGAAGTAGTGATTTCTCTCATATTTCTCTAGATTATCCTCTTTTATTCTTTACAAAGGTTGAAGGGACTCAGTATGTAACATATCAGATAATCTTTGATTGAAGTCTGATGTTGGCCTTTTACACAACTCCTGCTCCCTTGTAAGAGACGTGTTGGGGTTTGCAAGGTGGGAAGACTGCTTGAGTATGCAAAAACTGCCAGCCATGAAGGGGACTGATCTTTACTAGGGATACAGAAACAGATAGCTATGGTAGTTGTTGCAGGTAGGATGTAACTTCCTAGGTTTACTACCGCTCACAATTATATTTGCTATTGAGGATGTAGCGTCCATCCATCTAGCCATCCCAGCTGGTTGTTCAATTTTTTCCCTTTCATTAAAAAAGTCATTATTATTATTATTATTACCAAGAACTTTTGGCATAAGATAAAAATTGGATAGATTATCTGAGCCAAGATGGCCAATTATATGCAGTCAGAAACAGCTTCTTCCACCAAAAGACCAGACTGTGAAGGAGATTGGCACACTACAAATTGATCCTTGGAAAAAAGGCATTGAAAGTGGACAGATGGAGGATGGAGACCCAAGGCTGAAAGGGGAGGAAGCTGAGAATGCTGCACAGGGGTACCAAGTACTAAGACTCATTCCTGGCCCAGAGCAGCTCCTGGGGAAGAGATGAGTGAAATAGGCATGGAGTGCCCCAAGGACATTTGGGCCATGGACATTTGGAATCTTAGCTGCAGGAGACCTCATGATCTCCACGGACATTTGAGCTAGCAGGGAGAACTTCTCAGAGAGTTGGCAGAGACAGAAATCCAGCCTTCACAGAGCCCAGAGTATTTGGCACCAGAATGACTATAGTGGAGCATGGCCACGGTTACACATACCCCAAGGATCGCCATACTCCTCTAAGTAGCTTCATCCTTTGTTGGCTGCCAGACCTGGACAGAGTAGGGCTATCTTGCTCATAGGGTAGGGGTAGTATGATCTGAGGACCCCCTTGTTTGCTGGACTCTCCCAGGGTCCCTGCCTGGCCACACCTGCTTGCAGCACAGCCTCAGCTGCCCAGCCAAAGAACTTGCTAGCAGCCACCACCATAGCTCTTTCACCAGATGACCCTGCATAACAGTCGGAGAGCTTTTGTAGATAGACTGCCACTAGCATGCAGTTGCCTGCAGCCTCTCCCCACCACTTCACCAGTACATGTGCAAAGACCCTACTGCCAACCCCCCACACCCCTGAAGTGCTTTTGCTGGCAGTCCCTATTGATGTGTTGTTGTCAGTATACTGGGAACACCTTGGTTCCTCCAGCACAGCAGGTCCTTAATCTTGAGGGACCAGTGAAAAAATTGTGGGCCTGGTCCCAGCCCACCAAGGTTAAAACACACAGCTCAGGAGGAGTGGGCTGAATCTCGGACCCCTGAAAGTATCCAGAAACAAAGTCAATTGACTAAACTTAAGTTATACCACAGTCAAACCCTCAAGGGCATCAAATAATATAAAAGCAAAAAGCCATATGCAAAGAACAGCAACATCAAACCTTAAAGGTACATCAGCCTACACAAACAAGAAAGAACCAGTGGGAGAGCTCTGACAACTCTAAAATCCAGAGTATCTTCTTATTGCCAAATGACCACACTAGCTCCCCAGGAATGACTCTTAACCAGATTGAAATAGTTGAAATGACAGACATAGAATTCAAAAATCTGTATGGCAACAAAGCTCATTGAAATTCAGGAGCAAGTTGAAACCCAATTCAAAGAAGCTCATGAATCCAATAAAATGATACAAGAGTTAAAGATAAAATAGCCCTTTTAAGAAAGAACCAAACTGATCTTCTAGAGCTGAAAAACTCTTTTCAAGAATTTCATAGTACAAATGGAAATATTAACAGCAGAATAGACCAAGGTGAGGAAAAAATCTCAGAGCTCAAAGATCAGTTCTCAGAAATAACTCAGTCAGACAAAAATAAGGAAAAACATAAAGAAAGAACAAAACCTCCAAGAAATATGGGATTATGTAAATAGACTGAACCCATGACTCATTGGCATCCCAGAAAGACAGGGAGAGAGAGCAAGCAACATGGAAAACATCAAGAACACAAGCCCATTCACAATAGCCACAACAAGAGTAAAATTCTTAGGAATACAGCTAGCAAGGGAGGTGGAAGATCTCTACAATGAGAATTACAAAACACTGCTCAAAGAAACCAGATATGATATAAACAAATAGAAATACATTTTATGCTCCTGGAGGGGAAGAATCAATATTGTTAAAATGGCCATACTGCCCATTTACAGATTTAATGCTATTCCTATGAAACTACCAACAGCACTTTTCACAGAATTAAGAAAATCACTTCTAAAATTCATATGGCACCAGAAAAGAGCCTGAACACCCAAAGCAAACTAAGCAAAAAGAACAAAGCCGGAGGCATCACACTACTTTAAACTACAGTACAAAGCTAGAGTAACCAAACAGCATAATACAGGTACAAAAACAGACACATGGACCAATGACACAGAATAGGGATTCCAGAAATAAATCTGCACACCTACAACCATCTGATATTCAACAAAGTCAACAGTAACAAGCCATGGAGAAGTGACTTCCTATTCAAAAAAATGGTGCTGAGATAACTGGCTAGTGCCATATGCAGAAGATTGAATCTGGACCCCATCCTTTCACCATCTACAAAAATAAACTCAAGATGAATGAAAGACTTAAACATAAGACCTAAAAGTAAAGAAAGCCTACGAGAAAACTTAGGAAATACCATTCTCGACATAGTACCTACCAAAGATTTCATGACGAAAACATCAAAAGCAATTGCAGCAAAGCAAAAATTAACAATTGGGATCTAATTATACTAAAGAGCTTCCACACAGCAAAAGAAGCTATCAACAGAGTAAACAGACAACCTATAGAATGGGAGAAAATATTTGCAAACTATACATCCAACAAAGGTCTAATATCCAGAATCTATAAGAAACTTAAATCAACATGCAAAAAAAAACCTGTTAAAAAAATGGGCAATGGACATGAACAGACACTTCTCAAAACAAGACATAGATGCAGCCAACAAACATACGAAAAAATGCTCAACATCACTAATCAGAGAAATGCAAGTCAAAACCACAGTGAGATACCATCTCACACCAGTAAAAATGGCTGTTATTAAAAAGTAACAAAAATAATAGATGTCGGCGAGTTTGCAAAAAGGGAACACTTATACCTTGCTGGTGGGAATGTGAGTTAGTTCAGCTACTGGAAAGCAGTTTGGAGATTTCTGAAAAAACATAAAACAGAACTACCATTTTACCCAAACAATCCCATTACTGGGTAAATACCCACAGGTGTATAAATTGTTCTTCTATAAAGACACATATACTCATGTGTTCATTGCAGCAAAATTCACAATAGCAAAAACATGGAATCAACTCAGATGCTTGTCCATGGTGGACTGATAAAGAAAACATGGTATGTATACACTATTTGATACTAGGCAGCCATAAAAAAGCATTAAATAACGTCCTTGGCTGCAACATGTATGCAGTTGGAGGCCATTATCCTAAGAAAATTAATGCAGGACCAGAAAATCAAATACTGCATGTTCTCACTTGTAAATGGGAGCTAAACATTGGGTATATATGGACATAAAGATGGGAACAGTATACATTGGAGACTACCATAGGAGGTAGGGTGGAAGGGAGAGGATTGTGGGCTGAAAAACTACCTATTGGGCACTATACTCACTACCTCAGTGATGGAACCATTTGTACCCTAATCCTCAGCATCACACAATATACCCATGTAACAAACCTGCACATGTAGCCCCTGAATCCTCCCCACCCCCCAAAATTGAAGAAGAATCATTCTGAGGCCATAGACAAAAATGTAACTCCTATTCCAAACTCCTGCATTATTTCTCAGTTTGCTTTCTAGTTACCTGGCTCATTCACCATTGGTTGTGAACTCAGGTGTAGTTGTGGAAGAAAAAAAACTGCCTAAAGTTAATCTTTTTCTTAGTTCCATGTCAAGTGTTTTTTCTAAACTGGGCAATATTATCTTGTAATGCACTAGATAGTGCTGTTGAAAATTTTGGTAATAGCCCTTTTCGGCTTTATTGAGATATAATTGACAAATAGAAATTGCGTATTCTAAGTTGTACAATGTGATGATTTCATGTGAGTATACACTGTGAAATCATTTCCCTAACAAAGTTAATCAACACATCCATTACCTCATATACCATTTGTGTGTGTGTGTGTTGGGGGGGGGGTAAGAATGCTTAAGATCTACTTTCTTTTTTTTCACTTCTATTTTAGGTTCAGGGGTACATGGGCAGGTTTGTTATATAGGTAAACTTGTGTCATGTGTTCTTTTTTATCTATACAATCATTTGTTGTACAGATTATTTCATCACCTAGGTATTAATCCTAGTACACATTACTTATTTTTTCTTATCCTCTCCCTCCTCACAGCCTCTACCCTCAGGTAGGTCCCAGTGTCTGTTGTTCTCTTCTTTGTGTCCATGTGTTATCACCATTTAATTCCCACTTATAAGTGAGAACATGTGGTATTTGGTTTTCTGTTTCTGTGTTAGTTTGCTAAGGATAATGGCCTCCAGCTCAATCCATGTTCCTGCAAAGGACATAATGTCATTCTTTTTTATGGCTGCATAGTATTTCATGGTGCATACATACTACATTTTCTTTATCCAGTCTTCTATTCAGGGACATTTAGGTTGATTGCATGTCTTTGCTATTGTGACTAGTGCTGCAGTGAACATATGCATGCACACGTCTTTATGGTAGAATGATTTATATTCCTTTGGGTATATACCCAGTAATGGAATTGCTGGGTGGAATGATAGTTCTATTTTTAGCTCTTTGAGGAATTGCCACACTACTTTCTACAATGGCTGACCTAATTTACACTCCCACCAACAGTGTATAAGTGTTTTTTTTTTCTCCACAATCTCACCAGCATCTGCTATGTTTTATTATGTTTTAATTTTTTTTTTTTTTTGAGACAGGGTCTCACTCTGTCACCTGGGCTGGAGTGCAATGGCACAATCTCGGCTCACTGCAACCTCCGCCTCCCAGGTTCAAGCTATTCTCCCACCTCAGCCTCCCGAGTAACGGATTACAGTTACAGGCGTGTGCCATCACGCCCAGCTAATTTTTGTATTTTTTTGGTAGAGACTGGGTTTCATCATGTTGGCCAGGCTGGTCTTGAACTCCTGACCTCTGGTTATCTGCCTGCCTTGGCCTCCCAAAGTGCTGGGATTACAGGTGTGAGCCACCATGCCTGGCCTGCCTTATGTTTTGATTTTTAAATAATAGCCATTCCAACTTGTGTGAGATGGTATTTCATTGTGGTTTTGAAATAAGATCTTCCATATCAAATTTCAAGTAAATAATATAATAATTTCAAGTAAATAATATAATATTAACTACAGCCACCATACTGTACATTAACTCCTCAGAACTTGTTCATATTATAGATGAGCCACACTTGAAAGGTATTAGATAATTACCAGCAGGCCTTCCTACCACTATCAACTCTCAATCTATCTTGCTACAAACCCTTTCCGGAATAATTTTTTACACATTGTAGTTTTCAATTATGACATGTCTTCCTTAAAATCTTCAGTGATTTAGAATGCCTTCAGAATAACATCTAGACTTCTTGGCCTGATATTTAAGGCTCTCTACAGTCTGGGTGCAATTTACCTTTCCAAGTTTCTCTCTCACTTCTCTCTTTTGTACACTGTATAGTTAGAAGAAACAACTATTTTAGTATGCCAGTGACATGTGCCATAAGCTTTCCCACCTGGCTTTTTTCACTGTCTTTTTTTCTTCTTGAAATGGCCTTTCCTCCTTCCTGAAATGTCCTTTCCTCCTTCTTTGCATATGCAAAAACTACTCATCATTCAGCTCAGATTACACTTTCTTGACTAAGTCTTCCCTCAGCCTCTTTCTGAAGTAATTTCTATCTTTGATGAACTTCTAGAGAAACTTAAATCTATCTTCCAAATCAATGATTTGTATATCTTATCTCCCAGACTATCTGGTTGATATATAAAAAAGCATCCCACACAGGGCCTAGCACATATGTATCTTGCCCATAAATGCTCAGTAAGTGTTGAGTGAATACTAAATTAATGATAGGACAAGTTTAACATTTGAAGGTATTATTTGTCATTTAAAACTATTTGGAGTTATCTTTTCATTCCAATATAAATTAAAATCTTTCCAATGTCAGAGTCTGAAGTTGCTGTGTAAGTAAAGTTGCTTCCTAATATATCAAGGAAACTACTAAGTCATAAGGCTAACCATAATGTTAAAAAACACAGATAATGTCAGTTGTGGTGGCACATGCTTGTAATCCTGGCTACTCAAGAGGCTGAGGCAGGAGGATTGCTTGAGCTCAGGAGTTTGAGACTAGCCTGGGCAAAACAGTGAGACCCTGTATCTAAAAAATAAAAAATCCCACCCATATCATTGATATAGACTAATCATTTGTCCATTACATGTTATAATTAAATTTGAAATTCTCAAATCTTTGAAAGATGCTAAATAAAACTGATAAATAACTATAAAAATATACAAAGAAACAGATGGTCTATAGTCTCATTAATAACTTCCCAGTCCTTGCAGACCAAAATAAACTTTTCTAAAATTTCAATATTTAGGTTCAGTTGTTTATTTATAATGAAGTCAACAATTTGTATTAAGCCATAAAAAGAAGATTGTAAAACTTTTAAGCAAGTAGTGAATCCTAGAATGGTAGAGATCATTTACTACAAGCCACTCATTTCACAGATTATGGCTTTACTTGTATGAAACAGCATTTAATTTGTTTTTTAGAATTTACCGTGATCCCCCAATAATGTTACCCTCCACTAGATGAATACAGAGAGTTTCTTTGGAAATATAAGATACTTAAGACCTCATCCCTGCCTTCAAGCAGCTCATTTTCTAGTGGGGGATAGGAATGATAGCCTAGAAGTGTGAAGAGGTTACAATACAGTATTGTAAAAGCCGTCTTAGCAGAAAACAAATGGGTTAATAAAAGCTAGCAACAAACATAAATAGAATTGATTTTATTTTCATGAGAATAATGAAGTAAGTTACTTTGTTAAGATAACTGCAAGTTGAAAAAGCAAAGTTCATTTGGAAAATTCAGGTATACCTCTTTCTGGCACTGGAGTACCTTCACAAATGTTCCTTCTTATGGTGATCAATGCCTTTTACGGTGTAATATTAGAGGAAGCCCACGCTGAAATCATAAGATTGAAAAGGCAGTTAACAACTGTAGAAGCAGTCCAGAAGGGTCATAAGAACTTAGCAGCCTTATGTATAGATCCAGAGTGTGTAATGGGGCATCAAATCTTTACTGACAGATTTAGGGCTAGTCACTGAATTCTGTGTCTCCTTCTTTTTTCTCCATCTGTTTTTACAGTCCCAGGGGGAAACTTGGAATACAGACAAGGGCTCATCACAGATGTTTGCTGCTGTGTGCATGTAGCATCTGTATCTAAAAATGAACACACTATTATAAAATATTCCTCTCTCTATGAAACCAGGGTATTTCCTCTATCTTCTCTTCTAAACACTTGGTTATAAAGTTAAGAGGGGAAGTAATTTGGAACTTTACATCCAGGGATCTGGATTGCTGGGAATAGGTGTTAGAACATTAAAAATATCAAGTATATTGTCTGGGATGGCTTAGAAATAGTTTTCCTTAAAGGACGAATGGCTTAAAGAACCTTGCACTCTTCTCCTTATAAACTATAATAGCATATAATGTTTATATCACTAATTTGGCATATATTATATACTTTTGGAGATTAACTGTTTGTAGTTAACTTTTCATAAGCATATATCTCTTCTCTTCAATTAAATTATGTTCAATAATCTAACAAAGTATAATAAATCTCCAAGAGATGAGCAGAGATGGGCTTTCTTGAAGGAGGAGCAACTTGAATGCTTTTCTTCTAAGTTTTTGTTGTCCTATGGCAACTTTAATTCCTGCCTGCAAGGCCTCCAGAGGCTAGCTACTATTCCTTTATCTGTGGTCCAAGCGCTAACAAAATAAACACTTTCCTTCAGTTTATTCTTTTTTTAAAATTTTTAAAATTTTATTTATTTTAGACAGAGTCTCACTCTGCCCAGGCTGGAGTGGCTGGAGTGCAGTGGCGTGATCTCCACTCACTCTGACCTCCGCCTCCCGGGTTCAAGCAATTCTCCTGCCTCAGCCTCCTGAGTAGCTGGGATTGCAGGCATACGCCACCACACCCAGCTAATTTTTGTATTTTTAGTAGAGATGAGGTTTCACCATGTTGGCCAGGCTGGTCTCGAACTCCCCGACCTCAGGTGATCTGCTCGCTTCAGCCTCCCAAAGTGCTGGGACTGCAGGCATGAGCCACTACACCTGGCCCCTTCGGTTTATTCTTAACCAGTAGAAACAGGCTGGAACTTTCTAAAAGAACTCTACTAAAAAAAAAAAAAAAAGAAAAAAGGAAAATAAAAGAAATGCAAAAATAAAAAATATAGTCTAGTGTTAAAAGTAGAAACCTGAACCTACAGCTGCAATATTGGAGTTCGAACCCCCCTTGTACTCAGATAATCATTTCTTAGATCTTCTCCACTTTCTTCTCCCTCTCCAAATTGTTCCTTTTTCTCTAGGTAAGAAGTTGACATATGTAACCTACTACAGTCTGGGTAAAGTTGCTGGTGTTGCTGGTGCAAAATTACTCAGAGTTGTCTTTTATATTTTGTCAATCAGGCAATAAACATATTTTTTTTAAGTTTGTTTAGCTTGTCCCGGGTCTCCGTACATCAATAAAGTTCTAGTGACTGAATGTTGAATGTATAAAAATCCTTTCTGGCTGGGTGCGGTGGCTCACGCTTGTAATCCCAGCACTTTGGGAGGCCGAGGCGGGCGGATCACGAGGTCAGGAGATAGGAACCACGGTGAAACCCCGTCTCTACTGAAAAATACAAAAAATTAGCCGGGCATGGTGGCGGGCGCCTTTAGTCCCAGCTACTCGGAGAGGCTGAGGCAGGAGAATGGCGTGAACCCGGGAGGCGGAGCTTGCAGTGAGCCGAGATCGCGCCACTTCACTCCAGCCTGGGCTACAGAGCGAGACTCCGTCTCAAAAAAAAAAAAAAAAAAAAATTCCTTTCTGATCCTGAAATTATATGATTCTACTCATCTGTGCAGAAAATTAACTTGGCTCTGTCCTGGTTTTGTGTTTAGACAAAGCTTATATTTTTCCCTAGCGTGGGACAAGAAAGAAAGTTTATGAATTTCTAAGACCCACCTATGAGAAGTTTAATATTACCAGCTTAATGCACTATCTAGTTATCCATTTCCATGGTGGCTGTGCAATTACAATTTAGTCCAATCTTTACATACACAAGCGAGTAAATGTCACATTGTCTGGGCAACCGTGTAGTATTTTTCAAGTTTGGGATTCTGAAGGGTCTTCTATGGTTCCTTTATGAATTAGCCTTGCACATAGTAGGCACTCAATATTTTCACTCCTTGCTTCTCTTTCCTTTTCAGTTCCTTGAGGACTCTTGTCTCTGACAGGAGCTCTGCCAATACTGGGCTCTACCATTGTTATCTGGGTGATAGGGAGGGTAAAGGTGAGTTAATGAAGTCAAATGTGGTTGTATGATTTTGATTTTAATTGTTTAATTCACGAACTACTCAGATCTTTTATTCGGCTCATGTTAAGTCCAATTCAGTTCAGGTTAACAAATATTTAAGAAGCCCCTATTCTTATAAGGAAGAGGATACTTTTTCTGCATCAGCCCTTAGCAGCTATTGAACCTATAACCTGGTCAAGCTCTAGTGTGCAAGGTAAATAAGAGAGCCCAGAGGTTTTCTAAGAATGTCAGGCCCCAGGTTAGTTGTGTAATCCCAGTGCTTCGGGAGGGTGAGATGGGAGGATTGCTTGAGGTCAGGAATTTGAGACAAGCATGGGCAGCACAGCAAGACCACTCTACAAAAAATAAAAAAAATGTTGCTGAATAGGATTTCATTATATAGATATACAAATTGTTTATACATTTACTCACTGATGGACATATGAGTTGCTTTCAAGTTTTGACTATTACAGATAAAGCTTCCACAAACATTTATGTACAAGTCTCTATATGGGCATGTTTTCACTTTTCTTGGGTAGCTGGATTACAAGGTAGGTGTATGTTAAACTTTTATTTTATTTTATTTTTATTATTACACTTTAAGTTTTAGGGTACATGTGCACAATGTGCAGGTTAGTTACATATGTATACATGTGCTATGCTGGTGTGCTGCACCCGTTAACTCGTCATTTAGCATTAGGTATATCTCCTAATGCTATCCCTCCCCCCTCCCCACAACAGTCCCCAGAGTGTGATGTTCCCCTTCCTGTGTCCATATGTTCTCATTGTTCAATTCCCACCTATGAGTGAGAACATGCGGTGTTTAAACTTTTAAAAAAACTGACAAACAGCTTTTTAAGGTGAGTAATGTGGGTATACTACTTGGTATCCCCTCCATAGCTCCATATGCTAACACTTGGTATGGTCAGTCTTTTAAATTATATCCATCTACTATGTGTGTTGTGATATCTCATTTTGATTTTGATTTGCGTGAATGATATTGAGCCCCTTTTCATGTGCTTATTTGCCATACATATATTTCCCTTGGTGAAATGCTTATTCAAATATTTCACACATTTTTCATTGGTTGTTTATTTTCTTATTATTGTGTATGACAGTTCTTTATATGTTCTGGACACAATACCTACATCAAATATATGCTTTGCAAATATTTGCTACTATTTTATGGGTTGCGTTTTTATTCTCCTAACAGTGTCTTGCAAACAACAGAAGTTTTCATTGTGATAACATCCAATTTATCAACTTTTCTTTTATAGATTGTGATTTTGGTGCCATATCTAAGAAATTTTTGCTTTACTCAAAGTCACGAGGAAGTACTGATACATGCTACAACATGTATCAACTCAAGAACATTTGCTAAATGGAAAAGCTATATGCAAAAGACCACATTTTGCTTATTCCATTTATCTGAAATATCCCAAAAAGACAAACTATAGAGACAGGTGATAGTTGCCTGAATCCACACGTGGGAGCAGGGAGTAATTGCAACTGGACACAAAGGATCTTCTGGGGGTGGTGAAAGTGTTCTAAAATTGCATTGTGGTGATGACTGCACAGTTCTGGAAATTTACTATAAATAATTGAATTGTACACTTACAATGGGCGAATTTTATGATGTATAAATTATACCTTTAAAACGCTGGAGTTTTTGCTAAAAATGAAATTATTGATACAGTCAACAATGTGGATGAATCTCAGAACAATTATACTGAGTGAAAGAAGCCAGACAAAAAAGAATCCATACTGTGTTATTCCATTTATATAAAATTCTAGATAAACTAGTGCATAGTGATGAAGAGCAAATCAGCAGATCCCTGGGAATAGGAACAGGGTAGGAAGGGGAGAGCCCATAACTAGAGACAGGAGGGAGAAATTACAAAGGGGATACTTTGGGGTGATGGATATATTCACTGTCTTGATTATGATGATGGTTTCATAAGTATATACATGTGTGAAAACTCATCAAATTGTGCACTTTAAATGTGTGCAGATTACTGCATGTCAGTTCTACCTCAGTACAGCTGTTTTTAAGGGACATGAATGGTAAGATAATTACAAAAAAAATTAGTTCTCTCAGAAAAAAACAAAGAACAAAAAAAAAATGATAAAATAATTAGCCATGTATGGCAGCATAGTGCCTGTAGTCCTGGCTACTCAGAAGGCTCAGGCGGGGAGAATTACTTGAGCCCGTGAGGTCAAGGCTGCAGTGAGCCATAATTGTACCAGTGCACTCCAGCCTGGTGACAGACTGAGACCTTGTCTCTTGAAAAAAAAAATAAGGTGCCAACACATATACCATACAACTATATTGTTGCTGCAATAGAATTGTATGAACAAGAATCAATTATATACTATCGTGCTAAGTGAGGTCCAGGAACAGCTAGTGATCCAAAAGTGTCTCCAGGTAGTCCCCAGACTGGTATCTTCTACTAAGTGAAATTGTAATAATACTTCTTTTTTGTTTCTAGTGAAGTAGTAAGCCATTCTTGATCCTTTTAACCCAATTTTACATTTCTCTTCTTTGAAATGCCACAGTATTTTGTCTGTACCTTTCTTGATAATTTCCATTTGTTGCTTTGTCATTAGTGTTCTCTGTGGTCATTCAATTTATGTTTTTAAATTTTTTTATTTTTCATTTCTGTGGGGACATAATAGCTGTATATATTTATAGGGTACATGAAATGTTTTGATACAGGCATGCAATGCATAATAATCACATCATGAAGAATGGGGTATCTTTCTCCTCAAGCATTTGTCCTTTGTGTTACAAACAATCCAATTTTACTCTTTTAGTTATTTAAAATGTACAAATAAATTATTATTCACTATAGTCACTCTGTTGTTCTGTCAAATACTGGGTCTTATTCATTCTCTCTAACTAATGTTTTTGTGTCCATCAACCATCCCCACCTCCTCTCACTACCCTTCCAAACCTCTGGTAACCACCTTTCAACTGTCTATATCCATGAGTTAAATTGTTTTGATTTTTAGATCCCACAAATGAGTGGGAACATGCAATGTTTCTTTTTTTTTTTTAATTATACTTTAAGTACTAGGGTACATGTGCACAACGTGCAGGTTTGTTACATAGGTATACATGTGCCATGTTGGTTCGCTGCACCCATCAACTCATCATTTACATTAGGTATTTCTCCTAATGCTATCCCTCCCCCAGCCCTCCACCCCCCGACAGGCCCTGGTGTGTGATGTTCCCCACCCTGTGTCCAAGTGTTCTCATTGTTTGGTTCCCACCTATGAGTGAGAACATGCGGTGTTTGGTTTTCTGTCCTTGTGATAGTTTGCTGAGAATGAGGGCTTCTAGCTTCATCCATGTCCCTGCAAAGGACATGAACTCATCCTTTTTTATGACTGCATAGTATTCCATGATGTATATTTGCCACATTTTCTTTATCCAGTCTATCATTGATGGACATATGGGTTGGTTCCAAGTCTTTGCTATTGTGAATATTGCCACAATAAACATATGTGTGCATGTGTCTTTATAGTAGAATGATTTATAATCTTTGGGTATATACCCAGTAATGGGATTGCTGGGTCAAATGGTATTTCTAGTTCTAGATCCTTGAGAAATCGCCACACTGTCTTCCACAATGGTTGAACTAAAGTACACTCCCACCAACAGTGTAAAAGTGTTCCTATTTCTCCACATCCTCTCCAGCATCTGTTGTTTCCTGATTTTTTAATGATCGCCATTCTAACTGGCGTGAGATGGTATCTCATTGTAGTTTTGATCTGCATTTCTCTGATGGCCAGTGATGATGAGCATTTTTTCATGTGTCTGTTGGCTGCATAAATGTCTTCTTTTGAGAAGTGTCTGTTCATATCCTTTGCCCACTTTTTGATGGGGTTGTTTATTTTTTTCTTGTAAATTTGTTTAAGTTCATTGTAGATTCTGGATATTAGCCCTTTGTCAGATGGGTAGATTGCAAAAATTTTCTCCCATTCTGTAGGTTGCCTGTTCACTCTGATGGTAGTTTCTTCTGCTGTGCAGAAGCTCTTTAGTTTAATTAGATCCCATTTGTCAATTTTGGCTTTTGTTGCCATTGCTTTTGGTGTTTCAGTCATGAAGGCTTTGCCAATCCCTTGTCCTGAATGGTATTGCCTAAGTTTTCTTCTAGGGTTTTTATGGTTTTAGGTCTTACATTTAAGTCTTTAATCCATCTTAATTACTTTTTGTATAAGGTATAAGGAAGGGATCCAGTTTCAGCTTTCTACATATGGCTAGCCAGTTTTCCCAGCACCATTTATTAAATAGGGAATCCTTTCCCCATTTCTTGTTTTTGTCAGGTTTGTCAAAAATCAGATGGTTGTAGATGGGTGGTGTTACTTCTGAGGCCTCTCTTCTGTTCCATTGGTCTGTATACCTGTTTTGGTACCAGAACCATGCTGTTTTGGTTACTGTAGCCTTATAGTATAGCTTGAAGTCAGGTAGTGTGATGCCTCCAGCTTTGTTCTTTTGGCTTAGGATTGTCTTGGCAATGCTGGCTCTTTTTTGGTTCCATATGAACTTTAAAGTAGTTTTTTTCCAATTCTGTGAAGAAAGTCATTGGTAGCTTGATGATGATGGCATTGAAATTATCTCAGGCAGTATGGCCACTTTCACAATATTGATTCTTCCTATCCATGAGCATGGAATTTTCTTCTATTGGTTTGTGTCCTCTTTTATTTCATTGAGCAGTGGTTTGTATTTCTCCTTGAAGAGGTCCTTCACATCCCTTGTAAGTTGGATTCCTAGGTATTTTATTCTCTTTGTAGCAATTGTGAATAGAAGTTCACTCATGATTTGGCTCTCTGTTTGTGTGTTATTGTTGTATAGGAATGCTTGTGATTTTTGCACATTGATTTTGCATCCTGAAACTTTGCTGAAGTTGCTTATCAGCTTAAGGAGATTTTGGGCTGAGATGATGGGATTTCCTAAATATACAATCATGTCATCTGCAAACAGGGACAATTTGACTTCCTCTTTTCCTAGTTGAATACCCTTTATTTCTTTCTCTTGCCTGATTGCCCAGGCCAGAACTTCCAACACCATGTTGAATAGGAGTGGTGAGAGAGGGCATCCTTGTCTTCAGCCAGTTTTCAAAAGGAATGCTTCCAGTTTTTGCCCATTCAGTATGATATTGGCTGTCAGTTTGTCATAAATAGCTCTTATTATTTTGAGATACATCCCATCAATACCTAATTTATTGAGAGTTTTTAGCATGAAGGGCTGTTGAATTTTGTTGAAGGCCTTTTCTCCACCTATTGAGAAAATCATATGGTTTTTATTGTTGGTTCTGTTTATGTGATGGGTTATGTTTATTGATTTGCATATGTCGAACCAGCCTTGCATCCCAGGGATGAAGCCGATTTGATCGTGGTGGATAAGCTTTTTGATGTGCTGCTGGATTTAGTTTGCCAGTATTTTATTGAGAATTTTTGCATCGATGTTTATCAGGGATATTAGTCTAAAAATCTTTTTTTCTTTTTTTTTGTCTCTCTGCCAGGCTTTGGTATCAGGATGATGCTGGCCTCATAAAATGAGTTAGGGAGGATTCCCTCTTTTTCTATTGATTGGAATAGTTTCAGAAGGAATGGTACCAGCTCCTGTTTTTGTCTCTGGTAGAATTCAGTTGTGAATCCATCTGGTCCTGGACTTTTTTTGGTTGGTAGGCTATTAATTATTGCCTCAATTTCTGCACCTGTTATTAGTCTATTTAGAGATTCAACTTCTTCCTGGTTTAGTCTTGGCAGGGTGTATGTGTCCAGGAATTTATTCATTTCTTCTAGATTTTCCAGTTTATTTGCATAGAGGTGTTTTTAGTATTGTCTGATGGTAGTTTGTATTGCTGTGGGGTCAGTGGTGATATCCCCTTTATTGTTTTTTAATTGTGTCTATTTGATTCTTCTCTCTTTTCTTCTTTATTAGTCTTGCTAGCGGTCTATCAATTTTGTTGATCTTTTCAAAAAAAAAAACAGCTCCTGGATTCATTGATTTTTTTGAAGAGTTTTTTTGTGTCTCTATCTCCTTTAGTTCTGCTCTGATCTTAGTTATTTCTTGCCTTCTGCTAGCTTTGAATTTGTTTGCTGTTGCTTCTCCAGTTCTTTAAATTGTGATGTTAGGGTGCCAATTTTAGATCTTTCCTGCTTTCCTTTGTGAACATTTAGTGCTATAAATTTTCCTCTACAAACTGCTTTAAATGTGTCCCAGAGATTCTGGTACGTTGTGTCTTTGTTTTCATTGGTTTCAAAGAACATCTTTATCTCTGCCTTCATTTCTTTATGTACCCAGTAGTCATTTAGGAGCAGGTTGTTCAGTTTCCATGTAGTTGAGCAGTTTTGAGTGAGTTTCTTAATCCTGAGTTCTAATTTGATTGCACTGTTGTCTGAGAGACAACTTGTTGTGATTTCTGTTCTTTTACATTTGCTAAGGAGTGCTTTACTTCCAATTATGCAGTCAATTTTAGAATAAGTGCGATGTGGTGCTGAGAAGAATGTGTATTCTGTGGATTTGGGTGGAGAGTTCTGTAGATGTCTATTAGGTTTGCTTGATGCATAGCTGAGTTCAAGTCCTGGATATCCTTGTTAACATTCTGTCTCATTGATCTGTCTAATATTGACAGTGGGGTGTTAAAGACTCCCATTATTATTGTGTGGCAGTCTAAGTCTCTTTGTAGGTCTCTAAGGACTTGCTTTATGAATCTGGCTGCTCTTGTATTGGAGGCATATATATTTAGGATAGTTAGCGCTTCTTGTTGAATTGATCCCTTTACCATTATGTAATGGCCTTCTTTGTTTCTTTTGATCTTTGTTGGTTTAAAGTCTGTTTTATCAGAAACTAGGATTGCAACCCCTGCTGTTTTTTTTTTTTTTGCTTTCCCTTTGCTTGCTAAGTATTCCTCCATCCCTTTATTTTGAGCCTATGTGTGTCTTTGCACGTGAGATGGGTCTCCTGAATACAGCATACTGATGGGTCTTGACTGTTTATCCAATTTGCCAGTCTGTGTCCTTTTATTGAGGGCATTTGGACCATTTACATTTAAGGTTAATATTGTTATGTGTGAATTTGATCCTGCCATTATGATGTTAGCTGGTTATTTTGGCCATTACTTGATGCAGTTTCTTTAGAGCATCAACAGTCTTTACAATTTGGCATGTTTTTGCAGTGGCTGGTACTGGTTGTTCCTTTCCATGTTTAGTGCTTCCTTCAGGAGCTCTTTTAGGGCAGGCCTGGTGGTGACAAAATCTCTCAGCATTTGCTTGTCTGTAAAGGATTTTATTTCTCCTTTACTTATGAAGCTTAGTTTGGCTGGATGTGAAATTCTGGGTTGAAAATTCTTTTCTTTAAGAATGTTGAATATTGGCCCCCACTCTCTTCTGGCTTGTAAAGTTTCTGCTGAGAGATCCGCTGTTAGTCTCATGGGCTTCCCTTTTTGGGTCACCCGACCTTTCTCTCTGGCTGCCCTTTACATTTTTTCCTTCATTTCAACTTTGGTGAATCTGACAATTATGTATCCTGGAGTTGCTCTTCTTGAGGAGTATCTTTTTGGCATTCTCTGTATTTCCTGAATTTGAATGTTGGCCTGCCTTGCTAGGTTGGGGAAGTTCTCTTGGATAATACCCCGAAGAGTGTTTTCCAACTTGGTTCCATTCTCCCCGTCATGTTCAGGTACACCAATCAGACGTAGATTTGGCCTTTCCACATAGTCCCATATTTCTTGGAGGCTTTATTCATTTCTTTTTACCCTTTTTTTCTCTAAACTTCTCTTCTTGCTTCATTTCATTCATTTGATCTTCAATCACTGACAACCTTTCTTCCAGTTGATTGAATCAGCTACTGATGCTTGTGCATGCATCATGTAGTTCATGTGCCATGGTTTTCAGCTCCTTCAGGTCATTTAAGGTCTTCTCTATGCTCTTTTTTCTAGTTAGCCATTCGTCCAATCTTTTTTCAAGGTTTTTAGCTTCTTTGTGATTGGTTCAAACATCCTCCTTTAGCTCGGAGAAGTTTGTTATTATTGATCTTCTGAAGCCTTCTTCTCTCAACTTGTCAAAGTCATTCTCTGTCCAACTTTGTTCCATTGCTGGTGAGGAGCTGCGTTCCTTTGGAGGAGAGGAGGCGCTCTGATTTTTAGAATTTTCAGCTTTTCTGCTCTGGTTTCTCCCCATCTTTGTGGTTTTATCTGACTTTGGTCTTTGATGATGATGACGTACAGATGTGGTTTTGGTGTGGCTGTCCTTTCTGTTTGTTAGTTTTCCTTCTAACAGTCAGGACCATCAGCTGCAGGTCTGCTGGAGTTTGCTGGAGTTCCACTCCAGACGCTGTTTGCCTGGGTATCACCAGTGGAAGCTGCAGAACAGCAAATATTGCAGAACAGCAAATATTGCTGCCTGATCCTTCCTCTGAAAGCTTCATCCCAGAGGGGCACTCACCTGTATGAGGTGTCTGTCGGCCCCTACTGGGAGGTGACTCCCTGTTAGTCTACACGGGGTTCAGGGACCCACTTGAGGAGGCAGTCTGTCCATTCTCAGAGCTCAAACACCATGCTGGGAGAACCCCTGCTTTCTTTGGAGCTGTCAGACAGGGACATTTATGTCTGCAGAAGTTGTCTGCTGCCTTTTGTTCAGCTACACCCTGCCCACAGAGGTGGAGTCTATAGAGGCAGTAGGCCTTGCTGAGCTGCAGTGGGATCTGCCCAGTTCGAGCTTCCCAGCTGCTTTGTTTACCTACTCATGCCTCAGCAATGGTGGATGCCCCTCCACCCAGCAGGCTGAAGCCTCACAGGTTGATCTCAGGCTGCTGTGCTGATAGTGAGCAAGGCTCTGTGTGCGTGTGACCTGCCGAGCTAGGCACATGAGAGAATCTCCTGGTCCGCCAGTTGCTAAGACTATGGGAAAAGCACAGTATTTGGGTGGGAGTGTACTGATTTTCCAGGTACAGTCTGTCACAGCTTCCCTTGGCTAGGAATGGGAAATCCCATGACCCCTTGCACTTCCCAGGTGAGGTGACAACCCGCCCCACTTCGGCTTGCCCTCCATGGGCTGCACCCACTGTCCAACAAGTCCCAATGAGATGAAACAGGTACTTCAGTTGGAAATGCTGAAATCACCCATCTTCTTCATTGATCATGCTGGGAGCTGCAGACCAGAGCTGTTCCTATTTGGCCATCTTGGAATGGAACCAATGTTTATCTTTCTGTGCCTGGCTTATTTCACTTAAATAATGATCTTCTGTTCCATCCATGTTGTTGCAAATGACAGTATTAAAGTCATTATTTTATGCCTGAATAGTACTCCATTGTGTATATGTACCGTCTTTTTCTTTATCCATTCAGCTGTTGATGGACCTTTAGGTTGTTCCCAGATATTGGCTATTGTGATAGTGCTGCCACAAACAGAAGTGCGGATATCTCTTTGATATCCTGATTTCCTTTTTTTTTTTTTTTTTGCGGGGGTGGGGTATATATCCAGCAGTGGGAGTGCCAGATCATATGGGAATTCTATTTTTGGTTTTTTGAGGAACCTCCAAACTGTTCTCCATAGTGGTTGTACTAATTTACATTCTTATCAACAGTATATAAGACATTCCTTTTCTTCACATTCTCACCAGCATTTGTTACTGCCTGTCTTTTGTATATAAACAATTTTGACTTGGGTGAGATGATACCTCATTGCAGTTTTGATTTGTATTTCTCTGATGATAAATGATGTTGAATGCCTTTTCATATGCCTATTTAACATTTGTATGTCTTCTTTCGAGAAATGTCTTTTCAAATCTTTTGCCCATTTTTTGATTAAATTATTAGATTTCTTTTCCTATACAATTGTTTGAACTCCTTATATATTATGGTTATAAATCTCTTGTCATATGGGTAGTTTGCAAATATTTTCTCCCAATCTGTGGGTTTTCTGTTCACTTTGTTGATTGTTTCCTTTGCTATGTAGAAGATTTTTAACTTGATAGTATCCCATTTGTCCATTTTTTGCTCTGGTTGCCTGTGCTTGTAGGGTATTACTCAATATTTTTTTTGCCCAGAACAATGTCCTGGAGCATTTCCCCAATGTTTTCTTGTAGTAGTTTCAAGCTTGAGGCCTTAGATTTAAGTCTTTAATCCATTTTGATTTGATTTTTGTATATGGTAAGAGATGGGGGTCACATTTTATTCTCCTGCCTATGGATATTTATTTTTACCAGCACCATTTGTTGAAGAGTGTGTCTTTTCCCCAGTGTATGTTCTTGGCAACTTTGTTGAAAATGAGTTCACTATAGGTGAGTGATTGTGTTTCTGGGTTCTCTATTCTGTTCCGTTGGTCTGCCTGTCTGTTTTTATGCCAGTTCCATGCTGTTTTGGTTACTATGGTTTAATAGTATAATTTCAAGTTAGGTAATGTGATTCCTCCAGTTTTCTTATTTTGCTTAGGACAGCTTTGGCTATTCTGGGTCTGTTGTGTTTCCATATAAATTTTAGCATTGTTTTTTCTATTTCTGTGAAGAATGTCATTGATATTTTGATAGAAATTGCATTGAATCTATAGACTGCTTTGGGTAGTATGGACATTTAAAAAATATTGATTATTCCAAAATATGAAAACGAAATATCTTTCTATTTTTTGGTATCCTCTTCAATTTCTTTCACCAGTATCTTATAGTTTTCTTATAGAAATCTTTCACTTCTTTGGTTAATTCCTAGGTATTTAATTTTATTTGTGGCTCTTGTAATAGGATTACTTTTAAAATTTCTTTTTCACATTGTTCACTGTTGGCTTATAGAAATGCTACTGATTTTTGTATGTTGATTTTGTATCCTGCAACTTTATGGAATTTATTTTTCAGTTCTAATGATTTTTTTGTGGAATCTTTAGGTTTTTCCAAATATAAGATTATATCATCTGCAAACAAGGATAAGTTGACTTATTCCTTTTTAACTTGGATGTTCTTTATTTCTTTTTCTTTTCTGATTGCTCTAGCTAGGATTTCCAGTACTATGTTGAATAATTGTGGTGGAAGTGGGCATCCTTGTTTTGTTCCAGATCTTAGAGGAAAGACTTTTAGTTTTTCCTCATTCAGTAAAATTCTAGCTGTGAGTCTGTTGTAATAGGGCTTTTATTACTTGAGGCATGTTTCTTTTATACTTAGTTTTTTGAGAGTTTTGATCATGAAGGGATGCTGAATTCTACCAAAATATTTTTCAGCATAAAATTAAAATGATTATATGTTTTCTGTCTTTTATTCTCTTTATATGATGTAGCACATTGATTGATTTGTACATGTTGAACCATGAATTCCAGGGATAAATCCCACTTGGTCAAGATGAATGATCTTTGTAATGTATTGTCAAATTTGGTTTGCTAGTATTTTATTGATGATTTTTGCATCAATACTCATCAGAGATATTGGCTTTTAGTTTTCTTTTTTGATGTATGTTTGTTTGGTTTTGGTATCAAGGTAATACTGGCCTCTTAGGATAAATTTGGAAGTGTTCCCTCCTCCTCTATTTTTTGAAATAGTTTGAAGATTGGTATGAGTTCTTTAAATGTTTGGTAGAATTCATCAGTAATGCCATCAGGTCTCAGGCTTTTCTTTACTGGTAAACTTTTTATTATAACTTCAAACTTGTTATTTGTTATTGATCTGTTCAGGTTTTGGGTTTCTTTCTGGTTCAATCTTGGTAGGTTGCACGTGTCTAGCAATTTGTCCATTACTTTTGGATTTTCCAATTTCATGACATATACTTGCTTATAGTAGCCATTAATAATCCTTTGAATTTCTGCAGTATCAGTTGTAATGTCTCCTTTTTCATTTGTGATTTTATTTATTTGGATCTCTCTCTTTTCTTAGTCTAGCTCAAGGATTGTTAATTTTGCTTAACTTTTCAAAAAACTGATTTTTTGTTTCATTGATCTTTCATACTGTTTTTTCACTTCAATTTCATTTATTTCTTATCTGATCTTTATTATTCTTTTTCTTCCACTAATTTGGGTTTGCTTTGCTCTTGCTTTTCTAGTTGTTTAAGATGCATTTTTAGATTGCTCATTTGAAGTTTTCTGTTTTTTATAATGTAGGTGCTGGCAGCTATAAACCTCCCTCTTAGTATCACTTTCGCTATATCCCATAGGTTTTGGTATGTTGTGTTTCCATTATCGTTTGTTTCAAAAATTTTTTCAATTTCCTTCTTAATTGTTTCCTTGACAAACTGGTCACTCAGGAGCTTATTGTTTAATTTCCATGTATTTGTATAGTTTCCAAAATTCCTCCTGTTATTAATGTCCAGTTTTATTCCATTGTGGACAGAGAAGATTCTTGATATTATTTCAATTTTTTGAATGTTTTAAGACTTGTTTTGTGACCTAACATATGGTTTATCCTTGAGAATAATCTAAGTACTGAGGAAAAGAATGTGTATTCTGCAGCTCTTGGATGAAATATTCTGTGAATATCTGTTAGATTCTTTTAGTGTGTAGTGCAGATTAAGTCTGATTTTCTTTGTTGATCTTCTGTTTGGAACATCTGTCCAATGCTGAAAGTGGGGTGTTGAAGTCTCCAATAATTATTGTACTGGGGCCTATGTCTCTCTTTATCTCTAATGATATTTCCTTTATATATCTGGATGCTCCCTTGTTGGATGCATATATATATTTAAAATTGTTGTATCCTCTTGCTGAATTGACCCATTTAAGATAATTTAGTGACTTTGTTTGTCTTTTATATTTTTGGGTTGAAATCTATTTTGTCTGTTGTAAGTATAGTGACTCCTGCTCTTTTTGGTTTTTTATTGGCATGGAATGTCTTTTTTCCATACTTTTATTTTCTGTCTATGTGTGCCTTTATAAGTGAAGTGTATTTCTTGTAAGCATCAGGTCAATGGATCTTGTTTTTTCATCCTTTCAGCCAGTCTATGTCTTTGGATTGGAGAGTTTAGTTCATATACATTCAATGTCATTATTAATAAGTAGGGAGATAATCCTGTCATCTTGTTATTTGTTTTCTGGTTGTTTTATATTCTTCTCTTCCTTCTTTTTTTCTTCCCATTTTCAGTGCAGGTGATTTTTGCTGGTGATATGATTGTTTCTTGCTTATTATTTTTTGTGCATCCATTGTACATTGTTTGGTTTGAGGTTACCATGAGGCCTGTAAATACTATCTTATAATTTATTATTTCAACCTGATAAAAACTTAACACTATTTGCATAAACAAACAAACGAAAAAGCAAGAAGAATACTTATAAAAATTCTATGCCTTAACTTTATCCCACAACTTTTTAACATTTTGTTGTTTGTATTCATATCTTATTGTACAAAATATGTCTTGAAAAGTTGTTGTAGTTATTATTTTTGATTGGTTCATTGTTTAATCTTTCTACTTAGTATATGAGTAGTTCACACACTGAGTTACAATGTTATAATATTATGTGTTTTTCTGTGTACTTACTATTACCAGTAAGTTTTGTACATTCAAGTGATTATTTATTGCTCACTAATGTACTCTTTTCATAATTGAAGTAATCCCTTTAACAGTTCTTATAGGACAGATCTGATGATAATAAAATTTCTCAGTTTTTTTTTTGTCTGGGAAAGTCTTTATTTCTCCTTCATGTTTGAAGGATATTTCCACCAGGTACACTATTTTATGGTAGAATTTTTCTCCTTCAGCACTTTAAATATGTAATGCCACTCTCTCCTGCCCTGTAAGATTTTCACTGAAAAGTATGCTGCCAGAGGTATTGGAGCTTCATTGTATGTTATTTGTTACTTTTCTCATATTGTTTTTCATATCCTTTCTCTATCTTTGACCTCTGAAAATTTTGATTATTAAATGCCATTAGGTAGTCTTCTTTGGGTTAAATCTGCTTGGTGTTCTATAACTTTCTTGCACTTGGATATTGATATTTTTCTCTAGATTTAGTAAGTTCTCTGATACTATCCCTTTGAACATGCTTTCTACCCCTATTTCTTTGTCTACCTCCTCTTTAAAGCTAATCACTCTTAGATTTGCCCTTTTGAGGCTATTTTTTAGATCCTGTAGGAATGCTTCATTGTTTTTTATTATTTTTTCTTTTGTCTCCTCTGGTTATGTATCTTCAAATGGCCTGTCTTGAAGTTTACTAATCCTTTCTTTGGATCAATTCTGCTATTAAAAGACTCTGATGCATTCTTCAACATGTCTATTTCATTTTTCAGCTCCAGGATTTCTACTTGATTCTTTTAAATTATTTTAATCTTTGTTAAATTTACCTGATAGAATTCTGAATTTCTTCTCTGTGTTATCTTGAATTTCTTAGAGTTTCCTCAACAAAGCTATTTTGAATTCTCTGTGTGAATGGTCACGTATCTCTGTTGCTCCAATATTGGTCCTTGGAAACTTATTTAGTTCATTTGGCAAGGTCATGATCTCCTGGATGGTCTTGATACCTGTAGATGTTCATCTGTGTCAGGGCATTGAAAAATTAGGTATTTATTTCAGCATTTGCAGTTTGGGCTTGTTTTTACCTGCCCTTCTTGGGAAGGCTTTCCAGATATTTGAGAGCACTTGGGTGTTGAAATCTAAACTGTATCTGCTTTAGGGGGCACCCCAAGCCCAGCAATGTTTTGGTTCTTTCAGACACATAGAGGTTCCTTGTGCAAGATCCAGGAGAATTCTCTAGATTACCAGACAGAGACTTGTTCTCTTTCTTTACTTTCTTCCAAACAAACAGTGATATAGTTTGGCTGTGTTGCCACCCAAATCTCATCTTGAATTGTAGCTCCCATAATTCCCATGTGTCATGAAAGGGACCTGGTTAGAGGTAATTGAATCATGGGGGCAGGTCTATCCCATGCTGTTCTCATGATAGTGAATAAGTCTTATGAAATATGATGTTTTTCTAAATTGGAGTTCCCCTGTATGAGCTCTCTCTACCAGAGGTTCTTCATGAGGGCCCTGCCCCTCCAGCAAATTTCTGCCTGTACATCCAGGCATTTCCATACATCCTCTGAAATCTAGCTGGAGGTTTCCAAACCTCAATTCTTGACTTCTGTCCACCCACAGGCTCAACACCACATGGAAGCTGCCAAGGCTTAGGGCTTGCACCCTGTGAAGCCACAGCCTAAGCTGTACCTCGGCTCCTTTTAGCCATGGCTAGAGTGGCTGGAATGCAGGGCACAAAGTCTCTAGGCTTCACAAAGCAGGGGTTCCTGGGCCTGGCCCATGAAACCATTTTTTCCTCCTATGCCTCTGGGCCTGTGATGGGAGGGGCTGCTGCAAAGGTCTCTGACATGCTCTAGAGACATTTTCCCCATTGTCTTGGTGATTAACATTTGACTTCTCATTACTTATTCAAATTTCTGCAGCTGACTTGAATTTCTTCTCAGAAAATGGGTTTTTCTTTTCTATTGCATCATCAGGCTGCAAATTTTCTGACCTTTTATGCTCTGTTTCCCTTTTAAAACTGAATGCTTTTAACAGCACCCAAGTAACTTCTTGAATGCTTTGCTGCTTAGAAATTTCTTCTGTCAGATACCCTAAATTATCTCCCTCAAGTTCAGAGTTCCACAAATCTCTAGGGCAGGGGCAAAATGCCACGAGTCTTTTTGCTAAAACATAGCAAGAGTCACCTTTATTCTGGTTCTCAACAAGTTTCTCATCTCCATCTGAGACCACCTCAGCTTGGATTTGATTGTCCATATTATTATCAGCATTTTGGTCAAAGCCATTCAACAAGTCTCTTGGAAGTTCTACTTTCCACATCTTCCTTTCTTCTTCTGAGCCCTCCAAACTGTTTCAACCTCTGCCTGTTACCCAGTTCCAAAGTTGCTTCCACATCTTTGGGTATCTTTACAGCAGCACCCCACTCTTCCAGTACCAAGTTACTGTTATTAGTCTGTTTTCATGCTGCTGATAAAGGCATACCTGAGACTGGGTAATCTATAATGAAAAAGAGGTTTAATTGACTCACAGTTCCAAGTGGTTGGGGAGGCCTCACAATTATGGCAGAAGGCAAAAGCCACACCTTACATGGTGGCAGGCAAGAGAGAAAGCTTGTGCAGGAGAACTCCTCTTTATAAAACCATTGGATCTCATGAGACTTATTTACTATCACAAGAACAGCACTGGAAAGACCCAACCCCGTGATTCAGTTACCTCCCACCAGGTTCCTCCCACGACACATGGGAATTGTGGGAGTTTCAAATCAAGATGAGATTTGGGTGAGGATACAGCCAAACCATATCATCTCCCCTTTTCAAAGGCAGAGGAGCCTCACCCCATGGTCACTGCCACCTCAAGCCCAAAGGGTGTACTCCCAGACTACTGTCAATGTTCCCTTAAGGCCTAAAGGCTCTTTACCAGCTTGTGGTGAATGCTGCCTAGCCTTGGACTCACCCTGCATGGCAGTGGGCTCCCCTCTGGCCCAGGGAAGGTCCAGAAATGCTATCCAAGAGCCAAGTTTTGTAATCAGGGAAACTTAAAGACCACATTGGGGCCCTACATTTTTTTTCTGGCTGAGCTGGTACCTGAGGTGCAAGACAAGGTTCATTTTTACTTCTCCCTCTGCTTTTCTCAAGCAGATGGAGTCTTGCCTCATAGCCACCACAGCTGATAATGTGCCAATTTTCATCTGAAGATAGCAAGTCTCAGAGTGTCACCAAAGGCCCTTGACATAGTAGCTGTGTATTACTGCTGGTTATTCAGGACCTAAGAGGTCTTTAGGTATTAGGTGGTACATACTGACAGGATTGGGTCCTTCCATTCAAGGCAACAGACTTCCTTCTGGCCCAGGGTGTATCTAGAAATGTCCAGGAACTGGGATCTGGAAAAGGGCCTCACGACTCTGACTGGTGCCCTATCCTCTGTGGCTGAGATGGTATTCAAGATGGAAGACAAAGTCCTCCCAACTCTTCTCTGTCCTCTATTCAAGTGGAAGTAAGGGGTCTGTTTTGGAGCCATGAGCTGTGTAGCCAGGGGTTAGGGGAGGAATGATGCCAGCATTCTCTTAGCCACCCCAGCTGTTGTCTCAGTAGGTCATGAGACCACCCCCAAGGTCCACTGTTTCTGGTCCCAGTTCAGCATTAGGACTCTCCTAGGAGTTGCAGTCCTTGTGGCCTGGAGTGTCTTTCAAAATTACTTCAAGCCCCAGAACACTGTAGCCCACAGCATCAAGACTTGTGGGAACTCAAGTTCTGACTGCTGCAGTCTGTAATTCCCCTCTGCCTAGGGCTGGTTTAAATGCCCCCTCCATGGGTGGCCATCAGCTGAGTTTGATCCAGTTTTCCTTTCTGCTGTTACAGGACAGCACTGAGTTCAATGCCTCACAATTGCTGCTCTCTCTCTTCCCGAGCACAAAGAAATACTCTCTGCACCATGCTGCCACTGCTAGGAGATGTGGGAGGGATGAGTTGGCAATTCAAGACTGTTTTTTCTACCTCTTCAGTGCCTCTTTCAGCATTACAAAGTTAAAATCAGGTGCTATGAGAGCTCACCTGATTTTTGGTTCTTACAAAGGTTTTTTTTTAATGTAGATAGTTGTTAAATTGGTGTCCTTGTGAGGTGTGTGTGGGCGCAATCAGTGGAGCCTTCTATTTTACCATCTTGCTCCACCTCGAGTCCCTGGTCATTCAATTTAAACTTCCCCATTAATCCTACCCCAGTCCCACTAGACTGTCAAGGCAATGAATAAGTCATTCTTTTGGTATATCCTGCTGTATGTAGTACAGTGCCCTTTAAATATTAATTTATTTGAGTTAATCCATTTTCTGTATGATTTAATTGATGTCTTGTCAAAATCAGTGACAATTGTTGCGTGGACAAAGACAATAAACATAGTGGAAAATTCATAGGACTATTAGGCCAAAGATTTGGATTATACCTCAGGCTTCAGTGGATGATTAATTGAGTGATCTTGGGCAAATCACTTCTTTTTTTATGATCTCTTCACTTATCTGTTATACAATAGGGCTTGAATTATATGATCTCTGAAGTCCCTTCTAACCTACCATACTATAAATCTGTGAATCAGGGTATTTCTGTTTTTTGAGAGCTGTAGGATAAGAGATTTATAGTTTCAATGAAGAGAAACACGGACATAAGTTGTTTGTGATCTTGACTTAAGACTACTAGATGTTCCCTGAACTTCTTCTAGGTGATATCTGAGAGAAAGACTCAATTCTTCTTTGAGTGTATTAGCTGTGCTCAGAATACAGGCTTGGTCAGGCACTCTAAAGGCAGCACAGTTCTAGATTTGAAAGTGATTTCTAAACAAAGTGCTAAATTTATGATTTAAAGTTGTCTCACTTGTCAAAGCCCACAGGTCTTTCTTCCTGGACTTATCCTTTTTGTTTTACAAGTTATGCCATCTCTGGTTCTGACTATAGCACCACCATTCTTCAGGCCTTCTAAGAGAGAAACTCCTGAAATCGTATTTGATAGCTCATTTTTATCATTTGTTGTATGAGAAGTCCATCCTGCTTGATCGTATTGTGGCGTGCCAGGTTTCACTAACTCAGACCTCCGTAATAACTATTTCAATACTGACTGAGTGGTTAAGTTAAATATTAAAAGCCAGTGCCCTTATGTGAGAGCTGGAATTTAACAAAGAGTCCACCAAGAGTTTTGCCTAGGCTTTTCCTGGGCCTTAAAGCATGACAAAATAATGAAGGAATTCTTAACAGGACCCATTTAGGATTAAACAAACTTTATTGGGGGTCTGAAGAAACTCCCCAGGCCTCCACAAAGAAGTTTATTGGGGTCTAAAGGAACTCCCCAAACCTCCGTGACTTAGCAGGAGACAAGATAAGGGTAATCACCTCAGCACCTAGACCCATTTAGATTAAGTAAATTTACTGAGGCTCCAGAGGAAGATCTTCAAAACTCAGACCTTAGTTATAGATTCAAATAAGTTAATTGCTATGTCTTTAGATGAATGCACACTTACACATAGACATATAGCTTAGAAGGTATATAAACTCTGGAAAACTTTGTAATTTTGAGTTGGTCTGGTGATAATTTCTAAGCCTTCTCCCTGTAATCGGTTACAGAAATAAAAGCTCTCTTCCCCCAGTGCATCTACATCTTGTTATTGGGCCAGGAGAAATATCAGCCCGACCCTCAGTTTGGTCTGGAAACAGTATGGCTTCAAGATTCCAAATCCAATGATCCATTTGTTCATATCTTAGCTGATGCCTGAAATCTACTCTATAGAGTTTCTAACAGGCTTTGATTCCCAGGAAAGTATATCTCTTCCTTAATGTGGACCATTTTGGTTCTTGGGCCCTTAATAACTTAAACAAATGAGTCCTCTTTGCCCCAAGTAAAAACATTTGTAACTTGTTTTGCTCCAACAAAGTGCAATAAATAAAGCCTTTGACTTTAGTAAAACAATTGCTCTTTTTTGTATATTTTTGGAAATTTTCTCACAGTCTTCTGGGAACCAAATTCCAGAATTAAGGCAATCTCTTCAGATTGTTTTAGAGTCCAAATCCCTAAAAGCAAACAAACTTCCACCCTCACCCTTCTGATCAAAGTTGTCCCTGACAGCTCCCCTGATTAGGGTTGTTGGAGACATCAGATATACTTGAGTACCTTCCAAGATATTACTTATAAGGAAAAAAATTTATTTTTTTTCTAGATTGGATAAATAGCAACATCAAAATGGATATTTCATTGCTTAGAAGATGATCCTAAGATTTATTCATCTTGCTTCACTGAAATTTTATGCCCATTCCTCACCTTCCCAGCAGCCCCTGGCAAATGCCATTCTAGTTTCTGATTCTATAAATTTGACTATTTTAGATATTTCATTTAAGTGGAATAAGTGCAGTATTTATCTTTCTGTGATTGGGTTATTTTGCTTAGCATAACGCCCTCAAGGCTCATCCATGCAGTTGCATATTACAGAATTTCCTTCCTTTTTTGTGGCTGGATTATATTCAATTTTATGCATATACCACCTTTTCTTTGCTCATTCATCTGCCAATGGGCATTTGGCAGAACTATTTACAATAGCTAAGATTTGGAAGCAATCTAAGTGTTCATCAACAGATGAATGGATAAAGGAAATGTGGTACATATACACAGTGGAATACTATTTGGCCATAAAATTAGATCCAGTAATTTGCAACAACATATATAGAACTAGAGATCATTATGTTAAGTGAAAAGAGAAATAAGCCAGGAACAGAAAGACAAACATCACATGTTCTCACTTATTTGTGGGATCTAAAAATCAAAACACTAGAACTTATGGTCGTTGAGGGTTTTTCTTTTTTTTTGAGAGGAGGTTTCGCTCTGTCACACAGGCTGGAGTGTAATGGCATGATCTTGGCTCACGGCAATCTCTGCCTCCCAGGTTTAAGCAATTCTTCTGCCTCAGCCTCCTGAGTAGCTGGGATTACAGGTGCCCGCCACCATGCCCGGCTAATTTTTGTATTTTTAGTAGAGACCGTGTTTCACCATGTTGGCAAGGTTGGTCTCGATCTCCTGACCTCAGGTGATCTGCCTGCCTCAGTTTCCCAAAGTGCTGGGATTACACGCACGAGCCACTGCACCCAGCCTCCATTGAGGGTTTTTAGTTTTATTCTATACCATCTCTTATTTATAGTAAGTGCCCTGTTTTATAAATAAAGACTTCTTTTTATAGTAAATGACTTCTCCTTTAAGAAAGGAGAAAAATTAGCTTAATTTTCTAATGAAGCAAATACAATATGGATAAAGTGGCAATAACACAATAGTCTTTGTCCAAGATTGGTCTGAGTTTGAATCATTATTTCTTCACTTAGCTGTGTGACCTTGGGCAAGTTACTTAACTTCTCTGATACTGTTTCCTCATCTGTAAAATGAAGATAATAAAGGAGAAAAGACAGCAAAAGGGTATCAGAGAGGAAAAAAATGAAAAATGTGTAGTATTGTAGAATCCAAAGGAGTGGTTTTTAAGAAAGATTGTGGTCATTGGTTTGAAATGTTCCAAAAGACCAAAGAGAATGAAGTTTGTAAAATGACAATTGGACTTGGTAATTAGGAGGCCAGTGGTGATCTGGGAGAAAATATTTTCAATGAAGTAATAAATTTTTAACTAAATTACAAGGATTAAAACTTTTAACGTGACTTTTCAACCTCTGTTTGGATTGTCATTGTGAATAAAAAGAGAAAAAGAAAGAAAGAAGATGTGAAGGTGTGTTAGTTTTCTATAGTGTAACAAATTACCACCAACTAAAAACAACATCCAATTATTTTCTCATGGTTTCTGTGGGTTGGGAGTTTAGTTAAAAACTGGGTCTTCTGCTTAGCATCTCACAACACTGCAATCAAATTGTCAGCCAGAACTAGTATCTCCTCCGAGGCTTAAGGTCCTTTTCCAAGATGATTTGTCATTAGCAGAATTCTTTCCTTGCAGTTGTGTGACTGAGGTCCCATTTTATTGCTAGCTGTTGACCAGGGATGACTCTCATCTCCTAAAGGCTACCTTCAGGCCCTTGACACATGGTCTTATTATCTTACAACATTGCTGTTTGTTTTCTTCCAGGCCATCAGGAGAGATATCTCTCCTCGAAATCTTTCTGATACTTTCTCTGATGTCTAGACCTCCTATTAAAGGGCTCATCTGAATAGTAGGCCCAGGATAATCCACTATTTGATAAACTGAAAATCAATGAATTGGTAACCTAATCAAGAAATGAAATCCCATTATATCCACAGGTCCCACTCAGACTCAAGGGGAGGAGTTTATACAGGACTTGTACATCAGGGGACAAGAATACTTGGGGTCATCTTTGAATTTTGCCTACCAAAGAGTGAATGTCTAGGAGGGATTTTCTGAGGAGGAAAATGTGTTCTAAAGCCAAGCTATAAAAATCCCTAAGAGTGGCAGCAGCAGAAGTGTGGACTTGTAAATAAAAATGTTTGAGTGATTAGTCAAGGTGCTTCAGGTGAATATTTACTTATCTCAGACATATTTCTGGCAAGGTGGGAGTGAAACAGAGTAGAGTCTGCATATAAATGCTCCAAACAAAAAGAGTTTATCAGGGATCTTTGGCCTGAGTCCAGGTGAGGTTTCTATGCCAAAGTATAGCAAAATCTGGGGATGCAGTTGAGGTTTCCAAGGTAAAGGGAGGTTTTTGTAGTGCTGAAAGAAGCTCTTGAAAAAAAAAAGCACATGGTACCATTAAGGAGGGAATCAATGGGGAAACAAAACTGTCCAGTTGCCTGATTGGTGTGGAGGAGCAGACTGTACCTTATTTCCCCAAGTGTTGCAGAAAACAGTAATGTAGTTACATTCCTCTTAGAAATACATAGCCATGTATCCATTCTTAGTGAGTAGAATGAAATGGAAGTGGCCTTATAACTGTGTATGTAAATGGTACGTGAAAAGTTATTAATTGAATTAAATTGGATTGAATTAAACTGATTTTGATTATATGATTAATCATTTATGGTTTTGTCATAAATAAAAAGAAATGTCTGCTGAATCTTGTTTACCTAAGCCTTAATTACCCCAAACTATTAATTTAATTAATTCAGCTAAATTTCCTGAGGTTCAAGTGAAAGTTTAAATAATAGGGCTGGAAATGGAGCCTCTAAGTTTAATTTTTATATCTAGAAAGATTTTGGTAAAGATACTGACAAGATCAGCTTATATTAAATACTAAGATGTACTAAGAAGAAATCAAGCTGGAATTGTAAAGAGCCCACCAGCCTGATTTGAAACTTTAAATTTTATAAAATATGGTCTAACCATAGAACTTACTACTTTCTGCCTAGTGTTATTATATGCATTCATTCAAAAATATTTTTCTAAGCCTCTATTATGTCCATTTATGTACTTGGCTTAGTGCTTCTTAACTGAAACTCCTTAGGACAGGGAGCAGGTTTCACTCATCTTTGTGCTCTCTTAGAGCTTAACTCAGGGCTTGGGACATGGTAAGCCCTCACTAGGTGTTACTGCTTGGCATTGAATTGGTGGCAGGGATTATGTGTGAGGATGACACCTGATCTGTGTTTCCCTGGGAGAGATATAGCTATATTTCACAGGATTGGGCTTTGTCTACCACTGCGTTATTAATATCCTCAATTATAGGCAAGGAAAGAGAGTCATTATTTTATGCAGATGTTGTCAACTGGTGGATGGAAGTTAAAAATCTGAATAACTGAAAAATTAAATGAGATAGGAGGTAGGACTAAGGTGAATGCCAAGTAAATTTGTGTAGTTTGTCAAATACCAGTCAAGAAATGTACTGTTTAGTTGCAAGTAGAGCTAGAGAGAGAAGGCGGGAGAGAGAGAAGAAAAATTGGTATAAGTGTGCAAAGTATATCAGCAATGAAGAGGTAGTCCTGATTGAACACCACATTGATCACACCTTCTCCCTTTTTAGAAGCCCCTTATTGTTTACAGGAAAAGGTATAATTCCTGTCCCATTCGATGGTACTGAATGACTTCTCAGGACCCCTCCTGTTACTATAAACCTATTAGCATAATATGAAATTTGATTCTCTAAGGTGTATTCAATTCTTTGAAAAATTCTTCCAGTAATTCCTGGGCACCCTTTAGAATAAGAAATGGCATGACAAAGAGTAACTTATCAGTGTTCTGGTGTTCAGGCTTTCACAAGGATTTGAGACCAAATATGATCACGAAGTGAATAATATGAAAAGAGATGACAGCTATGTTCCCACACAACTGTGAGGTGAACCAAGTCACTTTGAACAGGTAATAAAAAGGGGTATGTGTCAGGTTACTGAAAACAATTATCAAGCAGAGTTACTCAGTGAAAGGAAGCTACCAGAAGAGGCTATAAAAATCTCTGTTTGGGATTGAATGACTTAGTTTTATAGAATGTTAGAGATGGAAGAGCACTTGGAGAACATCTAATACACTCCCCTCATGACCCGGAAAGTTAAAATGACTGCTGAAAGTAACAGACAGAATTAGTGGCAGAGTAAAGACAAACCATATAATTAAGTTTCAGATTCCACAAAGCCTTTCAATAGACACTGGCACAAGACAAATTCATATACTGCTACAAATCATGACAGTTAAATATACTGTTGTACAAAGGACTGCACAAAAGGCAAGGATTGATCCATTATTTTTGCTCTTTGTTTACAATGTGGGAATACTGTTTGCTGAATTTAAAATTTACAAATTTCTTTTTAATTTTCTTGTTTATCTTCTGTTCAATCTGTCCTTATCACTTATGATGAATTATTCTTAAAGCACAGTTCAAATCATATCCTTTCCCTCTCAGAGGTCTCCAGTGGCCTATTAATTAACCTCAAAGAACTATTCAAGACTACAATAATATTCCCTCCTAACTGCATAGAGTTACTTTCCTGTTGTTTACCATATGTGTATCATGCAAATTATGCTATGAATAGCTCCATCTCTCCTTTTGTCTCTTTTTCTTTGCTCAGGGCATTTTAGGGATGGCAAAATGCTGTATTGCCATTTATAAAATGCCCTTTGTCGTCATCACTATTATATGTAATTCTAACCATCGTTAAGACAATCTCTTATATCACCTCTTCCCTAAAAACTTTCTAGATGCTCTGTATTGCTTTGAAATACTAGTTATATTAAAGGAGATGGATTAGCCACTTAATATGTATCAATTCGGTGCTAGATATTTGGAAAACAAGACACAGACCTTGCCCACTAAGGGCTTACAGTCTACTAGAAGAAGACACAAGTATGTTAACAAATAAATGCACTGCATTATTACAGCTGCTGTGATAGAAGTTGATAAAGGACACAGAGCATAAAAGTAGTAAATGGGTGCATGTATTTGTAGAAAAGGCTTTATGAAAGAGAGAAGGGTGGGGCATATGGGGAAGAGTATCCTAGGTAGGAGGAGAAAGTAGAATGAGCAAGGAATGGAGGTGTGAAGTAGCCTGGCATATTTAAGGAACATCTAACATTTTGATATGGCTAAAATATAAGATGAAAGTAGTATGCATGTGCGTGTATGTGTGTTTGGGCGTGTGTGGGTGTGTGGGCGTGTGTGTGTGTGTGATTGGACTATGGGGCTTAAAAGTGAGAAATTAGGTAGAAAAGAAATGCAGAAAGTATATCCTAAAGGGTGTTATATACCATTCTAGATAATTTGAGTTTATCTTCTAGGGAATTGAAAGCTACTACAGCATGCAGAGTGAGAAAAGAATACTGATATATAAGGGAAAGAGGAAGTAGAGCTGTAAATATAGAGGTTGCCCATCCCTGAGAGGTTTAATTTTCTTGATAAAATAAGAGACAATATTATCTGCTGAGAAAAAGAAATGGGCTGCAGTAGGGTTCAGCTCATTGAAAGATTGGTGGAGGTTGGAATAATTGGCTCTGTAGAATGGGAGAGAAATATGACCAAGAAGGGACTGATGGCCCAATTGAGGTTTGAGAATGTGAATTTTTAACAGCCCCAGTCTGCATGATTGTGTGATTTATTCCAGTAGTGCTCAGCAAGCACCCTGGGTGTAGGAGAGAAAATACACAAATGTTTCAATTGATCTAAAACCGGGGGCCACAGAGCAAATGTTATGAAAGGACAATGGAGTAAGGAAGTTAAGAATGCTTCCAAAGAAGTCCTAGACAAAGCAATTAGGCAAGGCAAAGCAATAAAAGGCATTCAAATAGGAAAAGAAGAAGTCAAACTATCTCTCTGCTGCTGCTGATTATATACATAGAAAACCTTAAAGACACTGCAAAGAAACTCCCAGAACTAACAAAAAATTCAGTAAAGTTTCAGAATATAAAATCAATGTACAAAAATCAGTCACATTTGTGTACACCAAAAACATTTTAGCTAAGAACCAAATCAAGAACACAATTCCATTTACAATAGCCACAAAAATTGAAATAGCTAGAAATTTATCTAATCAAGAAGATTAAAGAGCTCTACAAAGAGAATAACAAAACACTGCTAAAAGAAATCAGAGATGATACAAATAAATGGAAAAATATTCGATGCTCATAGAGTGGAAGAATCAATATTGTTAAAATGGCCATACTGCCCAAAGCCATTTATGGATTTAATGTTATCCCTATCAAAATACCAATGTTATTTTTCACAGTTAGAAAAATGAATTCTAAAAATTCATATGAAACCAAAGAAAGCCTAATTTACCAAAGCAATTGTAAGCAAAAGGAACAAAGCTTGAGTCATCACATTACTCAACGTCAAACCATACTATAAGACTACAGTAACCAAAATAGCATGATACTGGTACAAAAACAGACACATACACCAATGGAACACAATATAGAACCCAGAAATAACCTGCACACCTACAACCATCTGATCTTTGACAAAATTGACAAAAATAAGCAATGGGGAAAGGACTCCCTATTCAACAAATGGTGCTGGGATAACTGGCTAGCCATATGCAAAAGAATGGACCCTATACCTCTCACTATATACAAAAATTAACTGAAGATGAATTAAAGTTTTAAATGGAAAACCTCGAACCTTAAAATACTAGAAGAAAACCTAGGAAACACCCTTCTCAAGATTGATTTTGGCAAATAATTTATGGCTAAGTCCCTAAAATCAATTCCAACAAAAACAAAAATAAACAAGTAGAACCTAATTTAACTAAAGAATTTCTGCAAAGCAAAAGAAATTACCAACAAAGTAAATATACAGCTTACAGAATGGGAGAAAATATTTGCAAGCTGTACACCTGACAGAGGTCTAATATCCGGAATCTATAAGGAACATAAATCAACAAGCACAAAATAATCCAATTTAAAAATGGGGAAAGAACAGGAACAGACCCTTCTTAAAAGAAGATGTACAAGCAACCAACAAACATAAAAAATACTCAACATCACTAATCACCAGAGAAATGCAAATTAAAACCACAGTAAAATACCATCTCATAACAGTCAAAATGGCAATTAGTAAAAAGCTAGAAAATAACAGATGCTGGTGAGGCTGTGGAGAAAAGAGAGTGCTTATACACTGTTAGTGGGAATGCAAACTAGTTCAGTCACTATGGAAAGCAGTTTGGAGATTTGTTGAAAAACTTTAAATGGAACTCTATTTGACTCAGCAACCCCACTAGTGGCTATATAGCCAAGGGAAAATAATTAAGTCTATCAAAAATACATCCATGCACATATTCATCAAACTGCTATTCACAATGGCAAAGATGTGGAATCAACATAAATGGCCATCAATGATAGACTGGTTAAAGAAAATGTGGTACATATATACCATGAAGTACTATGCAGCTATATAAAAAAACAAAATCATGTCCTTTGCAGCAAGATGGACGGAGCTGGAGGCAATTATTCTAAGCAAATTAACATAGGAACAGAAAACCAAACACCACATTTCCTTGCTTACAAGTGGGAGCTAAATATTGAATACATATAGACATAAATATTGGAACAATGGACACTGGAGACTACCTGATGGGGGAGAAAGGGAAGTGGGCATGGGCTGAAAAAATACCTATTGGGTACTATGTTCCCTACCTGGGTGTTGAGATCATTTGTACCCCAAACCTCAGCATTATGCAGTATACTCATATAACAAACTGCACAATGTACCCCTTAATCTAAATAAAAGTTGAAACCAGAAAAAATAAAATTAGCAACAATAGAATGCAACCAAAATAATAGCTAAAAGTAAAATTATGAAGAAATTTAATAGATTGGCAGAAAAGGGAGAGCACAAAAGACTTGAAGACTCACTGAGATGTATGAACTGGTGTAGTGGTAAAAGGGGGTGTCTGAAAGTCTATGGGCTTTAGTCAGAGTGTTGTACATTGGAGTTCCAAATTTCAGTTCTGTGGTGACAAATAAGGCCCTGGACGTGGGCATGGAATGAGTAACCAAGATGGAATGTGAATGGACATTGTTTCAGATAAGGTGGTAAGAAAAATTGAAGTCAGTTTGTTGGGTTGGTTGTTCACATGGAAGATGACGTTACCAAAGTGATCATATAATTTAGGGGGTAGAGAGGAGAACTGTCTAAGAGGTTGACAGACGATGTGAATAAGAAAGATTAGAGGGTGACATAGATGAATGTCTTTTTGCATTATGGTAGAAAAGTAATGATTTAGAGTAGCATCAGCGAGCCAAGAGACAGCTAATAGATTCTGGCTCACAGTATATGGGATGTAGAAAAATAAGCAGCACACTTTTGATGAGAAAGACCAAGGTTAGCTTAAGGCAAGGACACGGTGAGAGAATTATTTGAAGAGGTTTAGGACATAGGAGAATTTACTCATAATGGAAAGGGTGTTTCAGAAGGCACAGTAAATAAAGGGTTAGAAAGGTCAGATGTGGAAGAATTAGGAGGAAGGAAGTACAGTGTATTCTCAGGATGTTAGAACCTTGGAGAACACTTGACTAGAGAGTTGATGATTCACCCACAGAATTCAAATTTCTGTTTTCACTTAATTTGTCTCTAGCTCTTCTTTGTACTTTTCAAAAATAGTAATTGTATCAGAGGATGGAGCAAGAAGGCAGAATGGAAGGCTCCACCAATTGTCTTCCCTGCAGGTATGTCACTTTAACAACTAGCTACAAAAAAATCACCTTCACAAGAACCAAAAATTAGGTGAGTACTCATAGTACCTGGTTTTAATTTCATATTGCAGAAAGAGGCACTAAAAAGGTAGAAAAAACAGCTTTGAATTACCAATGCCACTAATCTCCTATTCCCTAGCAGTGACAGTGTGGTGGGAAGAGTGTTTCTGTGTGCCAGAGAGGGAGAGTGCAGAAATTGTGAGGCATTGAACTCAGTGCTGTCCTATTAGAGCAGAAAGAAGAACTGGATGAAACTCAACTGACACCTGCCCACAGAGAGAGCATTTAAACCAGCCTTAGTCAGGGGAGAATTACTCACTCCAACAGTCAGAACTTGAGTTCCTGCATGCCTTGCCACCAGGGGTAAAGTGCCCTGGGGCTCTAAATAATCTTGAAAGGCAGCCTAGGCTGCAAGGACTGCAACTCCTAGGAACGTCCTAGTGCTAAACTGTGCCCAGATACAGTGGACTAGAGAAGCATGTGACCTACAGAGACACCAACCAGGCCAAGAGAGCGCTTATATCATCCTTCTTCTTATCCCAGGCTGCACAGCTTGCAAGTCCAAAATAGATGCCTTCCTTCTGCTTGAAGAGACAAAAGAGAAAAGTGGGGAGGACTTTATCTTGCATCTTGGATACCACCTCATCCATAGCAGGATAGGGCACCTGTTAGAGCTATGAGGCCCCCTTTCCAGGCCCTAGCTCCTGAATGACATTTCTAGACATACTCTGAAGGGAACCTGCTGCCTTGAAGGGAAGGACCTAGTCCTGGCAACACTCATCACCGGCCAACTGAAGAGCCCTTGGGCCTTGAATAAACAGAAATGATATCCAGGTACATTGCTGATGGTCTTTGGTGACACAGAGCTGCTGGCTTCAGGTGAAACAGCATATTCCAAGCTCTGGTGGCTGAGGCAAGATTCCTTCTGCTTCGGAAGGGAGAGAAAAAAGTGAGGGGAATTTGGTCTTACACCTTATATGCCAGCTTGGCCACAGGGAGGTAGACCACCAAATGACCTCGCAGGGTCCTCAAATCAAGTATATGGCTCTCATATGGCATTTCTGTATGTTTCTTGGGCTGGAAGGGAGCCTACTGTTCTGTAGGGTGAGTCCCAGGCTGGGCAGCATTGACTACAAGCTGACTGAAGGGAACTTGGCCCTTAAGGGAACATTGGTGGTAGTCTGGCAGTAGTCTCCATGGGTCTATAGTTATGGTGGCCATGAGATGAGGCTTCTCTGCTTTGGAATGGGGAGGGAAGAGTGGGAAGGACTGCATTTTGTAATTTGAGTGCCAACTCAGGTGCAGTGCAATAGCACACCAGGTAGACATCTAAGCATTTTGATTCTAGTCCCTGACTCCTGAACGGCACCACAGGACCCACCCAAAGAATGGGGAAACTTACTACTATTAAGAGAGGGACACAAGCCTGGCTGGGTTTACCACCTGCTGATTATAGATCCCCAGGGCCTTGAGTAAACATAGACAGTAGCCAGGGAGTGGTTACAGCAGGCCTGGGGTGATACCCAGTGCTGTGCTGACCCAGCACAGTCATAGTGGTGGTAGCCACAGGGATGCTTGTGTCACTCCACCCTCAGCTTTAGGTGGTTCACGATGGAGAGACAGAGAGACTACATTTGTTTGTAAGAAAGTAAGGGAAGAGAACAAGAATCTCTGCCTGGCAATCTGTAGAATTTTCCCACATCTTATCCAAGACCATCAAGGTAAAAGTAGCAGTGGGAAGAGCCTTATAGGCGCTCCCATTATCCAGCTTGAGCCCAGTGAAGCCATCCCTGACTGTATGTCACAGGGGCCTTTGGGGAACGCACCCAGTGGAATTAGGGAGGGGTCACAGGGTGTAAGAAGTTTCCAACTGGATTTTGCAACAATTTCAACTGGGCACTAACTTTCTTGAGCAAAAGCCAGGGAGCAAATGGGAACTGCTGCAGATATGAATGCAGGAGCCACAGCTGACACTGTGGGCAGATAGGAAGGGGTGAGACCTGAAAGCCAAGTTTGCTTGCTCAGCGGGGAAGCTTATGGCCTGGGAAAAGTTCTGAGTTCTGCAAAAGCAAGCTGCCTGGATCTAAACTTGGCACCATTAGTGGAGCACTATAGGAGCGAGGCTGGCCTTGCCAACTGTGTGGGAGGTGGGTGAGGCCTTTCACTACCAGCTATCCCCCACTTCTCTTGTGAACTATATGGCACAATAGAACCAATGGAACAGAATAGAGAACCCCAAAATAAAGCCAAATACTTACAGTCAACTGATCTTCAACAAAGCAAACAAAAACATAAACTGGGAAAGGACATCCTATTCAGAAAATGTTGCTGAAATAATTGGCAAGCCACACGTAGAAGAATGAAACTGGATCCTTGTCTTTCACTTTACACAAAAATCAACTCAAGATGTATCAAATACTTAAATCTAAGACCCAAAACCATAAAAACTCTAAAAAATAACATTGGAAAAATTCTTCTAGATGTCGGCTAAGGCAGACTTCATGACCAAGAACCCAAAAGCAAATACAACAAAAACAACAATAAATAGATGAGACAAATTTAAACTAAAAGAATTCTGCACAGCAAAAGAAATAATTAGTACAGTAAACAGACAACCCACAGAATGGGAGAAAATATTTGCAAACTATGCATCTGACAAACAACTAATATCCAAAGTCTACAACAACTCAAATAAATCAGCAAGAAAAAAACAAATAATCCCATCACAAAGTGGAAAAGGGACATGTATAGACAATTCTCAAAAGAAGATATACAAATGACCAACAAACATATGACAAAATACTCAACATCACTAATTATCTGGGAAATGCAAATTAAAACCACAATGAGATACTGCCTTACTCCTACAAGACTTAATTAAAAAATTAAAAAATAATAGATGTTGGCATGGGTGTGGTGAAAAGGGAATACTTTTACACTGCTGGTGGAAATGTAAACTAGTACAACTACTATGGAAAACAGTATGGAAATTACTTAAAGAACTAAAAGTGGAATTATCATTTGATCCAGCAATACTACTATTGGGTTTCTACCCAAAGGAAAAGAAGTCATTATATGAAAAAGACACATGCACATGCATGTTTATAGTAGCACTATTCACACTTGCAAAAATATGGAACCAGCCTAAATGCCCATCAACCAATGACTGTATAAAAAATGTTGTATATCTACACCATAGAATACTACTCAGCCATAAAAATAAATGAAATTATGGCATTTGCAGCAATCTGGACAGAGTTGGAGACCATTATTCTAAGTGAAGTAGATCAGGAATGGAAAACCAAACATTTATATATTCTCCCTTATATGTGGGAGCTAAGCTATGAGGATGCAAAGATGTAAGAATGATATAATGGACTTTGGGGACTCGGGGAAGGGTGGGAAGGGAGTGAGGGCTAAAAGACTACACATTGCGTACAGTGTACACTGCCTGGGTGATGGGAGCACTGAAATGTCAGAAATCATCACCAAAGAACTTATGCATGTAACCAGAAACCACCTGTTCCCCCAATACTATTAAAATTAAATTTAAAAGGCCTAGAGACAGAAATACCATTCGACACAGTAACCCCATTACTGGGTATATACCTGAAGGAATATAAATTCTTCTATTATAAGGACACATGCATGTGTATGTTCATTGCAGTACTATTCACAATAGCAAAGACATGGAATCAACCTACATGCCCATCAATGGTAGACTGAATAAAGAAAATGTGTCACATATACACCATGGAATACTATGCAGACACAAAAAGGAATGAGATTATGTCCTTTGTAGGGACATGGATGGAACTGGAGCCCATTATTCTTAGCAAACTAATGCAGGAACAGAAAATCAAACACCGCATATTCTCACTTATAAGTGATAGCTAAATGATGAGCACTCATGGACACATATAAGGGAACAACACACACTGGGGCCTATTGGAGGGCGGAGGATGGGAAGAGGGAGAGGATCAGGAAAAATAACTAAGGGATATTAGGTTTAATACCTTGGTGACAAAATAATCTGTACAACAAACCCCATTTACCTATGTAACAAACCTGCACATCCTGCACATGTACCCCTGAACTTAAGAAGAAGTTAAAAATAAAAAGAAAACTTTCATGCAAATAACAAATCTCTGTCCACCACAGCCACAAATGACTTACCTAAACTTTAGTCTATCATTTTCAGCTGCTTATTAGATTGCTCTACTTGGATCTCTTGTCCTTTAAAAAATTTCAAACATATTTTCAGATAAAACAACCTTCTCTTCAAAATTAACTTCCCCACCTTATGTTTCTATTTTTTCAATGACAGTAATAGTCTTCCAGTAAGTCAGGCATAGAACCTGGCAGTCATCTTTGACTCCACCCTATCCTTATTTTATCCCTCGAGTCCTGTTGATTCTTATTTTGCAATGCCTCCTGACCCTTTGTTTCTTTTTTTTTTTTTTAACCAACTTAGTTCAGCATCCTTATCTCATTATGCCTTAGCTACTTGAAGGTGATCTATGCATCCTCTTTCACACTTAAATAATCAAGAGGTGAACCTGGCAAATTTATACTTATACTTCAAGATTTAGGTTGAAGTTATCATTCTCTATGAATACTCCCATGTGCATGGTTCATTTATTACAGTGCTGTAATTACTCTTTTTTTAAAGTTGTTTAGTTTTCTTTTTTTTATTATACTTTAAGTTTTAGGGTACATGTACACAACGTGCAGGTTTGTTACATATGTATACATGTGCCATGTTGGTGTGCTGCACCCATTAACTCGTCATTTAACATTAGGTATATCTCTTAATGCTATCCCTCCCCCCTCCCCCCACCCCACAACAGGCCCCAGTGTGTGATATTCCCCTTCCTGTGTCCATGTGTTCTCATCGTTCAATTCCTACCTATGAGTGAGAACATGCAGTGTTTGGTTTTTTGTCCTTGCGTTAGTTTGCTGAGAATGATGGTTTCCGGCTTCATCCCTGTCCCTACAAAAGACATGAACTCATCATTTTTTATGGCTGCATAGTATTCCATGGTGTATATGTGCCACATTTTCTTAATCCAGTCTATCATTGTTGGACATTTGGGTTGGTTCCAAGTCTTTGCTATTGTGAATAGTGCCACAATAAACATATGTGTGCATGTGTCTTTATAGCAGCATGATTTATAATCCTTTGGGTATATACCCAGTAATGGGATGGCTAGGTCAAATGGTATTTCTAGTTTTAGATCCCTGAGGAATCGCCACAGACTTCCACAATGGTTGGACTGCTTTACAAACCCACCAACAGTGTAAAAGTGTTCCTATTTCTCCACATCCTCTCCAGCATCTGTTGTTTCCTTACTTTTTAATGATTGCCATTCTAAGTGGTGTGAGATGGTATCTCATTGTGGTTTTGATTTGCATTTCTCTGATGGCCAGTGATGATGAGCATTTTTTCATGTGTCTGTTGGCTGCATAAATGTCTTCTTTTGAGAAGTGTCTGTTCATATCCTTCGCCCACTTTTTGATGGGGTTGTTTTTTTCTTGTACATTTGTTTGAGTTCATTGTAGATTCTGGATATTGGCCCTTTGTCAGATGAGTAGATTGCAAAAATTTTCTCCCATTCTATAGGTTGCCTATTCACTCTGATGGTAGTTTCTTTTGCTGTGCAGAAGCTCTTTAGTTTAATTAGATCCCATTTGTCAATTTCGGCTTTTGTTGCCATTGCTTTTGGTGTTTTAGACATGAAGTACTTGCCCATGCCTATGTCCTGAATGGTATTGCCTATGTTTTCTTCTAGGGTTTTTATGGTTTTAGGTCTAATATTTAAGTCTTTAATCCATCTTGAATTAATTTTTGTATAAGGTGTAAGGAAGGGATCCAGTTTCAGCTTTCTGCATATGGCTAGCCAGTTTTCCCAGCACCATTTATTAAATAGGGAATCCTTTCCCCATTGCTTGTTTTTTGTCAGGTTTGTGAAAGATCAGATAGTTGTAGATATGTGGCATTATTTCTGAGGGCTCTGTTCTGTTCCATTGGTCTATATCTCTGTTTTGCTACCAGTACCATGTTGTTTTGGTTACTATAGCCTTGTAGTATAGTTTGAAGTTGGGTAGCGTGATGCCTCCAGCTTTCTCCTTTTGGCTTAGGATTGACTTGGCAATGCGGGCTCTTTTTTGGTTCCATATGAACTTTAAAGTAGTTGTTTCCAATTCTGTGAAGAAAGTCATTGGTAGCTTCATGGGGATGGCATTGAATCTATAAATTACCTTGGGCAGTATGGCCATTTTCACGATCTTGATTCTTCCTACCCATGAGCATGGAATGTTCTTCCATTTGTTTGTATCCTCTTTTATTTCATTGAGCAGCGGTTTGTAGTTCTCCTTGAAGAGGTCCTTCACATCCCTTGTAAGTTGGATTCCTAGGTATTTTATTCTCTTTGAAGCAATTGTGAATGGGAGTTCACTCATGATTTGGCTCTCTGTTTTTCTGTTATTGCTGTAATTACTCTTTTTGCTTACATGTCTGTCACACCCATTTAGACAGTAAGCTCATAGCTCATTAGTAGCAGTGAGTTGCTTTCTTCATTTTTTGCTCTTTTCCTCTCCTAATTGGGCAACTTTGAAGAGTAACTTTGTGGTCTTAAGAGCTTTTGAGTAATAGAGCATCTAATTTCCCAGGGTGGATGTCTAGGATCAGAGGAAGGAGCACGTGTGTGTGTGTGTGTGTGTGTGTGTGTGTGTGTGTGTAAGTGCAGGTGCTGTTATGCAAGAATCTAAATAATGGTGTAAAGTGATAGTAAAATGTGGATATATCTAGTAGGGTAGAATCTATTTAAAAGAAGCCTGAAAATTCACAGAGTGCAGGGGACCATGACTCATGGATGGGCATTTTACAAATCACCAGAGAAGAAAGGAAAGGGGGTGGAGCAGATTGAATCTACACATTTGGGCAGAAAGGGAGGCAAAGATCTTAAAACAAAGACGGCATAGCGGTGGCTCATGCCTGTAATCCCAGCGCTTTGGGAGACCAAGGTGAGTGAATCACCTGAGGTCGGGAGTTTGAGACCAGCGTGACCAACATGGAGAAACACCATCTCTCCTAAAAATACAAAATTAGCTGGGCGTGGTGGCACATGCCTGTAATCCCAGCTACTCAGGAGGCTGAGGCAGGAGAACTGCTTGAACCCGGGAGGCGGAGGCTGTGGTGAGCCGAGATTTTACCATTGCACTCCAGCTTGGGCAACAAGAGTGAAACCCTGTCTCAAAAAAAAAAAAAAAGGCATAAGTGGTCTGGTGGGGCTGGAGGAGAGTTCAAAAGTGCCATATTTCAGAGACTAATGGAAATGCAAAGACTCAAGGATGTGTTTGATTATAGGGTCCGAATGAGACTGATGGGTGTTTTTGGATTGAACCAATAGCAGAGACAAAAAGATTAAATCAGTATCTGGATGTACTTTCATGATTCTATTAAGTTATACGCCTGCCAAGATTTCCTTTACCTTTCTAGTAAATGCTAGCATGCACTGGAGAGTCTGTATGTGTTGGAGGAGTGCCAACAGGAGTGGGGTGATGAAGGCAGGGCCAAAGCAGAAGAGGAAGTGGGGAGGCTGGGACTCAGGGCTCCTAAAACCGATACTTCCTCTTCTGCTGCTGAGCAGTGGCAGGATGCAGAAAACATATTTAAAGAGGGTGCAGCTCAGTGGAGCCCTGTTTTTATTTGACCAACTCCCCAGTGCCCTCTTTCCTCCTCTCCATGTAGCCTATTATTGTCAAATGAAAAAAAGTTGGTTGTGCCATCCTGTAATTCTGAGCTCAGGGAGGTTAGGGACAATGCTGTATTAATCTTTTGATACAGTAGACACTCATTAATGTTTGTTGAATCAATATCTGAATGAATAGGAGAGTCAACAAATATGAATGTTTTGTAAATTACAAAGCTCTTTAAAATGTAAATTTTTATTATTCTCTTTCTTATTCATATAAGGCTCACCTACTTTGACCACACCACCCCACAATCATATCTCTCTTTGCACATAGGAAAATGTGTATTTGATGTTTATTGAGTGATTGTTTATTGATTGACTACAGTAAAGCTACTCATCCTCTATGGAGATTTAATCTACAAACCATCAGGCTATGCTAATGATCCCAGTGACTTTCTTCCATCGTAGTAAAAGATTTGGGGGAGGAGGGCAGAATGATCCTTCCGTCTGTGATCACTTTAGCCCTATCATTACAATAAGTAGCTTTCTTACTTCATATTTCCAGGGATGTGCTGCTCACAGGGATATGCTTTTTGGGAATACATTTCCAAGGATATGTATTCTCATTGGTATTAAAAACTATGGGGGAACTGATACTTCGTTGCTGACAGCTCTCAGGTGTTTCTTCTGTAGTCTCTTATTCTCCTTAAGAGGAGAACGTCAAACCCATCAATTCAGGCCATTCTGTTGTCAGACAGTTGGAATCTAAGCACATGACACTGTCAAACCAAAAAGGACCTTGGACTGTGGCATTCAGAACTAATGACAGTGTGTCCCCTTCCATTGTACTGTGCCAAAAATGCTTTATCCTGTGTAATCAGATTAAAAGGATGCATAAGACCAGAACTTAAGGGAAATGAAAGTTAACAAAAGGCAATAGAGATCTTGAGGAGTGCATGAGTGTGGGTGACAGTGTATAGTGGAGGATACTTTCACCCCTAGTTTGGGTGATAGAAATGTGTTGCAACCTACACACATACTTTTGAACTTTTTGTAAAGCACTAAGTAGAGGGCCTTTTTCCAGGAATACCTCTATAACTCTCTACCTAATTACCAGCAGCTTGGAATCCTCTGATGTTCTGAGGTCATTGCTTACAGCTAACTCTGAGGCCTGCTTCTATCATCTTGGCATTTAGATGTCTGGCTCTTGCAAAAGAGTTGTTCTCTAGGAGATTGCTTTTTATTTAAGGCCCTTTGTCTTAAGTAAGAATTCAAATTCAGATCAAACACAAATGGTAACCAATTTGGAATGAAAAGAAGCCTTATTACCTTCTGAGGCCTGAGTATTTCCTAGGAACTTTGGAATAAGTATGTAAGACACATCTGAGATGTTTGAGTGTTGTTATTATTAGCTCAATTCTACTTAGCTTGGTGAATCCATGACAACACAAAGACAACCCTTTGTAGAAACAAACACTGTTAATCTGAAATTTATGAGAAATCTTAAGAAGTCATATACTTTAGACATCTTGAAATGCTATTCAAAACTGGATTTTTCTTTCCCTTTTAGGGAAAAGGGATTGATGAAAAATAAAAGAATGCCCAAATGTCTCCTATTTTTTCTTTAGCTCAAGGACCTCAAGTCTAGATCTGAACTCCTGTTTCTTTTCTATCAGTTCCACATATGTAGGAGCTCAAATGTCTGGGTTGTATTGATTCTGAAAGCACTCTAAGCAAGATAATGACATTTTATTCATCAAAAGGAAAATCAACTATGTGTTAAATGTCCAAGGGCTTATGTTTACTCTTCTCTCTCTTTTCCTCTATTTCTATAAGGACCTCTTCCTAACTTATCCCCCAAATTTAAAGTATTTTTTTCTCTTTTCTTCCATATGAACCCACCACCCCAATCTAGAAGAAGGACTGTGGGGCACAGAGAAAGGAGAGGTCATGATGAGATGGAGTGGGATGAGACAGAATGAAGCAGCAGGATAGAAGAATTTATACAGTGGCCTTTTCTACTAATCCATAAAGAAATCTTAATTAAAGGCAAAAGTAATTGCCATCTGAGGGTGTTTTAGCACCTTGATTGTAACATGAATTAATGGACCTAAGATGTCTGGATTTATCTAATCAAATTAGATAAAGGAATGGCTTTCTTTATTGCCTTTTCTGTAGGGATGAGGATATGTACTTCTTGCTATGAGTCTATCAGACTTCTTAGCAGTTTTTTGTTTGTTTGTTTGTTTGTTTTTTGAGACGGAGTCTCGCTTTGTCGCCCGGCTTGAGTGCAGTGGCGCGATCTCGGCTCACTGCGACCTCCACCACCCGGGTTCAAGCGATTCTCCTGCCTCAGCCTCTCGAGTAGCTGGGACTACAGGCATGCCTCATGACACCCAGCTAATTTTTGTATTTTTAGTAGAGATGGGGTTTCACCATATTGGCCAGGATGGTCTCAATCTCTTGACCTTGTGATCTGCCCACCTCGGCCTCCCAAAGTGCTGGGATTACAGGCATGAGCCACCACACCCAGCCAACAGTTTTATTTCTGCACTGCAAAGCAACAAATTGGCATACTGACTAATCTATCTTTTGTAGGGTTGACTAATATAAATATATCTTTCAACAGTTTGTTCATATCTGATTGAACTGGGAAAGCTTTTCTCACTGACCCTTAAATCATACCACATAGATGTTCATGTGGCCTGAAACGCAAATAACACTGGAGTGAGAGATAAAAGTGACTTTAGGTCTTTCTATTTTAGACACACACACACACACACACACAACTAGACATACTTATATATTTTAAAAACGTGATTTGTATTATAACCAAATCTGTGATTGAACAAGTGGTTTTATGAAAGAGTAGTGGGATATTGTGTTGCATTCAAAACTTGCTGCAAAAAACTATTTTAATCCTTAGCATATAATCCTAAGAATCAATGGGCTTGGTTAAAGTAGTAACAACAAAAGGTGGATAGTGCTTTCACAGAAATACTTTTTAAATACTACTCTTAAATATTTTATTCCTTTTAGAGTTCACATTGAGGTGTGCATAAGTATTGTAGGGCTAGTGACAACTATAATCCAGAGTGTTTGATGCTACTGACAGGTCCTAAGAGTAGGATGAGGTTGCTGAGACTTAGAGTGATGTCCCTGACCTAGCAATATAGTCTAGGGAGTAGAAAGTAGCTAGCCCTACTGTCTCCCCATGCAGTCAGTTTTGTTATATGTTTATCCACCTGGAATGAATGGAATTTAAACAAAATCCTTCTGATGGTGGTTTGTATTTTCAAGTCGCTTTCAGATTTTATATTTATCATTTTAAGAGATTTAGAAAATATTCCTATCAGCTCATTACTGCATTAGATACACAAAGGAACCAAGAAATACTAATGGCTGTTAACTTGCCAGAGAACACCCAGTTGTTTACATGTCAAAACAAGGGTGAACTCCCAGTTATCCCAGTTACCCCGTTTCTCTCCCATTGAAATCCATGCAGCAAGATAGTTTAGAGCAGCCACTGTTAGGTGTTAGGAACATGAGAATAACAAAATGGACCAAAGTAGAGGTCCATACAGGGCAATGTTATTTGGGAGATTATGATAGTTACCATTCATAGTATTGAATTCACAAGGTTGGGTATGTACCTTAAGAATCAGCACCTTCCCTTTATTATCCTTTATTATTGGTCAATTATACTGAAAATACAAATTTATAATTTTCTATACTGTGGAAGAGTCTTGCTTTTATGACAGATAAATAGTTTCTAAATGCATCAAAATTTCATTAAGGGGAGGTAGTAGAAAATGAGAATTGATGATTCTTGATTAGGAATACACTAACATGCTAGATTAAGTCTAAAAGCAAATAGCAAACTTTTCTTAACCTACCATTATCTGTGTGCTTACTGGCTCCCAAACTGACTTATTTTATTTGGAGGAACCCTGATTGGCTGGTGTAGTCAATACTTAGGGGAACTGGGGAAAATTTTTTTATCATGGATGAATGTAAATATAGCACTTGAGGTTGTTTATGATGTAAAAACAGATAGCTTTTAGTTCTAATTGAGCCATTAATAGTAAAACAACAACAGAAAACATTTCTGAATGATTAAGACTTCTGTAATAAAGTTAAAATTGTCTTGTAACAAATTTTCCTAATGTATTTTAAATGTAATACAGTCCTTTGTATTTTATAATGCATTGTAAAAATATAAATATTTTTGTTTTTAAAACAGTGTACAATCTAGTCCAGATTTAGTTACAATTTCTTTTAAAATAATCATTTGTTAGACATATGGTATCATAGTTTCTCTCTAGGTTTCAAAATAATCAGAATACTGGAAAGCAGAACCACTGAATTCAGTAGGTGGAACTTACAAACCCATTTGTTTCCTCTTGAAAACAGCCTTTTTTGTCGCTAAGTAGAAAAATGTTCCTGGCTAAAGATTTTATTAAAATGTATGAATCTTTGGCTCTGTGTAAACTTAGTCTACACCAGATGTGTCTGAGTTACTAAATAGATCATGCAATTTTCTTCTATTCATTTATAGTTGAGAGAGCTTTATTTTTACAGTCTCTGGCCAGAACTGGCCATTTTCTAGTTGTACGGTGTGTTTCAAGAAAATTTTTTAGCCTCTCTGAGTCAATTTTCTCATTCATAAACATGGACAGTAACACCTACCTTGTCTAAATTATAGGATGTTGAAAGGTTCAGGTGGGATAACAAATGTGAAACTACCTTGTGAAAATTTTACTCTCCACTGGTTTACCTTCAGTAATTACTACATATTTATTTTCCATATTGAAGGAAAATGTCACTACATTAGAGAAACTCCACTGAACCCTCAAAATGGGGATTTGAAAATGTATCTTACATTTCTGGCTTAAATTACAAAGGCACAGGAGGTTTGCGGAGTGTGTCTCCTCTGTATTTTGCCACGTTGAGCCCTAGCAGAAGCACTGAGCAATATTTGTTGACAGACTGATCATATTATCAGATTTCTGGCTAAGAAATAAAGCAGAAAGAATTCATACTAGCACCCAAACTTAAAGCAGGCAAGGCAGATAACTTATCCCCAAACTCCTGGGAATTTGCTAAAATTTACCATCAGCAACATTTTACTACATACTGTTCTGGTCTTAGTACTGAATACTGAGTCTCCTTACCTGCTAACTTCAAGGTCCACAGTTTACTGTCCTTTTGCGTTTGTTCTCAGAAGCAAGCTCCAAGTCTTCAGTAAATTCGATCTACCAGTCCTTGCAATTAATCCTTGTTGGCGAGCTGCACAGTATCTTGATACCCTGTAGGGTCGTAAAAGCACAGTCCATTCACAGAGTGCCTGCTCTATAGGCAAGCTTCTTTGCAAAGATGGGTTGCTGCTATTTTTAAGAGGGGAGAGAGCAGGGCACATTTGCTAGCCAATATATACAGATATACAGATTCTTCTTCCTCTTTCAGATTAGCCTTCAAACTGTTAAAGCACTCCCGGAGTCTGACTTCTCTGGTGCAAAGTGGGGGAGGGGAAGGGTCAAAGAGGAAGGAAGAATAGAAACTGGAGACTTGCAGGTTGCGTGTATGTATAAATAAACTTTTCTTCCTAGCTTCAGGAATAGAATTCTCAGGAAATTATTCAGCTGCTCTAAGATGGGAAGCAGGGACGAGTGTTCTCTCTTCAGCTTAGTTCTCTGTGATTTCTGTGACTGTGAGGTCATTAGACTATTTGTAGGTGGGGAAAGATAATCCTGCCAGTATATGCTAATATAACTGGCATTATGTGAAACTTGATCTTAAGTAACATAAATTTCATCTCTCCGTTTCTCTCTCTCTCTCCTTAATGACACTTGTGGCTCTATCCACATTCTAAAAAGCCTTTTCCTTTCTGGTTCCTTTTTGAGCTTTGTTTCCTGAAATCTTCATAACAATAAATTGCCTCCATTGGATTAAAACTGTTGTTTTCTTTTTTTGTCCCACTGAAGATGATCTGGAATGACTGGGCTTGCTGTCAATGGTCCTGTGTTGGAAATTTGGGGGATCAGGCAAGTGTTCTTGGCCTTTGGCTAGGCTCTGAGGTGTTAGAGCTGTGGGGTGCTCAATATGGCTTCTGGAGAAAAGGGACATAGCAGTCTGGTATGTGCTGATTGAAGCCTGGGGCAGCACTTTGATGTTAAAAACCAAATTGGTAAGATCATGATGTGAATTTGTTACATCAATTATCTTGAGTTATATTAAGAAGATTCTATATGGAGATGGGCATAAATATGTTGATGTTAACACTTTGTAAACATGCCCCATAACTAACAACTAGTTTTAGGTACTTGTAAAATATGAGCCCAGCAGTAGCCTTCTGGCTTGCTACCTGCTGTAGGAACAAAGTCATTTACTCAAATTTTGTATCTTTAGGTACAAGAATTACCTCACAACCAACCTGGGACAATCGCTTTAAGGCCCTTGAATCTTTATCTCTTTTCACAGAGTTCTGGATTGTGGTGGTGATGGTGATAGTTGGAGGAAAAGGCTATCCAACCACATTTGAAGGGATGTTAACATTTGGATTCAAGACTAGACTTTCTAATCCTCTCCTAGGGAGTTTTAGTAACTAAACTGACATTCAAACTAGTATTTCTTCAACTGAGTTTGGATCCCCAAATATCTACAGGAAAATTTATAAGTGAGACACAGAGTGAATTATCACTTTTCCTCCAGTCTGAAATGTTACAGCCATTTTGAGCTACAGTGGAAGGGCAATTCATACTCAGGAAATGAAGAAAAGAGAAAGGAGCTAGATCCTTTGTGGGGATAAGAGAGATCAGATTGTTACTGTGTCTATGTAGAAAAGGAAGACACAAGAAATTCCATTTTGATCTGTACCAGGAAAAATTGTTTCTGCTTTGATACCATACCCCAGCACAACACCCGTAAAGGGTCTCTGCTGAGGAGGAGTAGTGAAAGAGGGAGGTCTCTTTGCAGTTGAGATAAGAGGAAGGCTTCTGTCTCCTGCTCCTCCCTGGGAATGGAATGTCTCCTGTAAAGCCAACCATTCCCATTCTTTCTATTCTGAGATAGGATAAAACCGCCCTGTGGCTAGAGGCGAGATATGCTGGCAGAAATACTGCTCTGTTACTCTTTGCTACACTGAGGTGTTTGTATAAAGTGAAACATAAATCTGGCCTACATGCACATCCAGGCACAGTACCTTTCCTTGAATTTATGCATGATACAGATCCTTTGCTCACGTTTTCCTGCTGACCTTCTCCCCACCTGTTGCTCTGCTACACTCCCCTTGCCAAGATAGTAAAAATAATGATCAATAAATACTGAGGGAACTCAGAGACCAGCGCTGGTGCAGGTCCTCACATGCTGAGGCTGCCGGTCCCCTGGGCCCACTGTTCTTTCTCTATACTTTGTCTCTGTGTCATTTCTTTTCTCAGTCTCTCGTACCACCTGATGAGAAATACCCACAGGCGTGGAGGGGCAGGCCCCCTTCAATCCTTGAGCTTCAAGTTGGCACCGAAATAGCTGTGGCAGAGAGGGTGTTTCCTGTGGTTCTTCTTTGTGCTCCCCTACCTGTTTCTTTCATTAGCTAATTTTCTGTTCTTGAGCAATGGGGAAGGCAGTGATTCACCCATTCCCAAATGGGTCTTTGCCTTGTACAGCTGGATCAATTTACACCACATTTGCTATAAATGACATCAGACTCCTTGTCTCCTTGCTTCATCTCTTTATCTTTTCTCTTCCCATCCATCCATCTTCATTACATATCTACTCTCACATTCTCTTTCACTTTAGGAAAGGTTGAAGTGCCCAGAATGATACCTGTCTGCTGCTGTCTCTCTACTCTTGCTCATTTTCCCAGACTCCTTCAGTTCTTACTTTCTTATTGAGGTAAGGAAGACCAAATAGGGAGTGGTGAGGGAGAGGGGGGATAACATGTAGTTGGATGGGAAATCTGTCTCAATGAAGTAAGACTTGGGTAGCAAGATAAAGAATTTTCAGTCACAACAGCGTTCACACGTAAGTGACAGGATTCATAGCTTATGTGGACTCAGAGCTGAAAGAGGTAATGAAAAATCATCATCTGGTTCAGACTTTATATTAAATTGAATTTGTGAGGGTATGACATGTCTGATTCATCATTGTGTCCTCAGCTGTTAGCTCATTGCCTTGTTTGGTTTGTTGAATAAATAAATCTAGTCCAACCCTTTCATATTATAGATGAAAAAGCAGGCTAGAAAGAGGCTCTCTCAAGATGCCATTATTTTACCACAAAATCAAAAATAGTAATTTTTCTTTCTCCAGGACTGAAATTTTTTCACAGCCAATACTAATTGCACTTTGGAAGGGTAAAGAGCATGACTATACTCAAAGCCCAGCTCTATACAGACATATATGCTTGTTAAATTAAGTTTAGCCTAAAGCTGTCTCCTGGAAATATTTTAAGTTCAGCCTAAAGATTTCTCTGTACATAGTGAACTAAAACCTAACTAGAAGTATAAACAGACTGTAACCTACTCTTGTACCAGTCATCAAGATTGACCAAACGAAGGTAACCACCTGTTCCAACTATGTTCAAATAAGGAAAATGCCAAGCTGTAACCAATCCAGCTGTTTCTGTATTTCACTTTGACTTGCTGTACATCACTTTCCTTTTTCTATCTATAAATCTTCAACCATACCTCAGCACTGGAGCCTCTCTGAACCTTTTCTGGTTTGGAAACTGCCTGATTCACAAATTGTTCTTTGCTCAATTAAACTCTGTTAACTTTAATTTGTCTAAGGATTTTCTTTTATCACATTCATTCACAGAGACTAGAATAGCCATGATTCAACTTTTAGTTCCAGCTTATAGAAACACGGAGACAATGAAAAAAATCAGGCTGGCTGTAGAAATATGGCTATTACAACTTTCCTTTTTCCTGCCCCAGGGCCTATTCCATGGGTATAAAACAACCCTGGATTGTCATTTTTAGTGAGGCAAGGGCCCTCTAACTGAGAGTGCTGGATGAGGTTGAATGAACCCTGTGAACAGAACAGCACAGACCACCTAGGAAGGATGGTACAGATCATCTAAATAATGTTACATTACTATGTACATTATTTTGTGCTGTCACCACTAGCCATGCACTAACCACTAGCCACACCTGGTTATTTAGATTTAACTGTAAATTAATAAAATAAATAAATAGTTCTGTATTTTAATTACACTAGCCACATTTCAGGCACTCAGTAGTATAGCCACATAGCCACATGTGAATGTGGCTACTGCATTGAACAGCACAAAGTTAGGACAGTTGTTAAAATTAATACCTAGCTTGGGGTAAAGAATATCAGTACAAGTTCATATAATTAAGTGCCAAAGCTGGGAAAAGAATACAGGCTTTTGGGCATCTATGAAGAGGAAGCAGATTTGTTTCTACCTCTACATATTTATTTATATTCAGTGTGGATCTCTGAGCATGGTTCAAGCACATTGAGTGTGTGTGACTCTATTTGTGGGCTTTAAAGTGTTTTGGGGGGCGTGGGATCTGGTTAGCATGGATGAGAGAGCTCCTTTACATAAATTTTTGCAGTTCTTGCCTTTCTCTCCTGACAAGACCAAAAGAGAAAATATTCATAAAGGTTCAATAAAAAAACAAACAAACAAAAAAAAACAAAAAAGTTATACAAATGAAAGGTGTCATGATTATGATGAGCTCCAGCTTTACTTCCTGCTGCTTAGTGTTTGCCCCTGAGTTCAGCTGGAGATGAGTATGGATGGGGAAGTGGGCTGGGTTGGAGGAAATTTTGGCAGCTGAGGTGACAGAGAGTCTGCGGGTGTGTGTGGTCAGGAAACCTGCTTCATGGTCTCCAAGCCTAGGAACTGGAGCCAGTTAGACTTGCTCTTACCTCAACTTTTGCTACAGGAGAGGAACAGTAATGGAGGAATTAGGCAAAGACCTTCAGTGAGAGCTAGGCCTTTCCTTAATTAGGGAGATTATCTACAATCACTTAAAAATGTGTCAAGTTTAGAAATAATGCATGTTCTCACTTATAAGTGGGAGCTAAACATTGAACACACATGGACATAAAGATAGGAACAATAGACACTGGGTACTACTTGAGGGGGGAGTTTGGGAGGGGACAAGGGTCAAAAAACTACCTATCAGGTGCTATGCTTACTACCTGGGTGACAAAATCATTTGTACACCAAGCCTCAGTAACACATAATTTACCCACGTAACAAACCTGTACATGTACCCCTGAACATAAATATAAAAGTAAAAATAAATAAAAATTCTGAAAAAATTCAGATTCATTAATGAGAATTGGCCCAAAGACTGACTGTCATAGGAGAGATCATCCACTATCGATGGGGAGAACTGGATGTGAAAAACATACCATGGATTATACAATGAGAAGATGCAGGTAATGGTGACTTTAACGCCCTGGGTTGGTGGGCATGGGAAGGATACAGAGAGGATGTCTAGATTATAGAGTCAACCCCCCCACTCTTACTCACCAGGCAGGTTTGGGAGACAGAGAGCCTGGGCCAAATTTCAGCTTGCCCTGCAAATCTGGGTGAGTTCTAGAGTCCTGCAGATTCTATTTCCATAGAATGTTGGAGCTGAAGAGAACCAGGGAGAGCATCCATGTCTTCCTCTTATTCTACATATGAGGAAACTTATGATGCAAATTAGTTGTAGTGTTGCTTTGTTTGATTTGTTGAATAAATAAATCTAGTCCCACCCTTTCATATTATAGGTGAGGAAACTGAATCCAGAGAGGATCCCTCAAAAGCCCTGAGGCTCCCTCAAGATGACTTTTTTTCCATCCTTGGATAGATTATTCCAACATTCTGAGTCTTAGTGTTCTTATTAGAAAAAATAATCACAATAATCTTGGCTCTGTTTATTTCACAGAATTTAAAAATCAAATAATATGAAAGACATGAAAAGGCTTTATAAACCGTAAGGTATTATGCAGATAAAATTATTTTATTGCCTATGTCTTCATCCTCCTCTCCTACCCAATGCCTTCTCTCACCCAAAATACTGCATGCCTTCTTATAAATATTTTCTTGGAGAGACATATTTGGGTAACTTTGAGATAACTTGGGGTCTTGAAGGGTGTTATCCTCCCAGGGCAGGGAATTATTGCCATTGAGTATCTAGTTGCAAAGGACCACTTTTACATATGGAGCCATGTTTACCACAACAGCAGCATCTGCCAGGTGTTATTTGTATGTATTTCCTGCTTGTTTTTGTGTGTTAGGGAGTGGTGTAAGAACAAGGCTTAGGGACAATTGAAGTACTATTTGTAAAACTGCCTTAGCTGTTGGAGTTCTCTGAAGGTAAATGGAAAACATTCACTTGGCTTGAAATTGGAATCCCAAGACCTAGGTTTATTTTGGCTCCATCACTTTTGGTATGACCTGGGGCACAGCAAGTCACTTACATCTTATGAGTCTCAGTTTTCTCATTTGTAATTAATAAGACTAAAGGGATAATGCTATCCACCCTGTACTGCACTGGGAACAGTGAGCTAATGCACATGAAAGTGCTTGTGAACTGTAAATAGCTGTAAAAACAACCTCTCTGTTGTTTCCTAGTAACAGGGGAAATTCCCCAGAGACATGCTCTGAAGTTGTCTTTGGCATATTTCCTTTACCTCAGCAGGGACCAGCTAACCCTCTAGCCAAGGGAAATTGATTTAAATATTTGATTTTAGGGCCCAGCCCTTAACCTAGCTTCACCTCTCTTGATGAAACATCCTGGCTTTCAAAAAATACCAACAGTACTAGCTTGGGCAAAATTTTTGAAGCAAATCAAATATATTTTCACCTACTCCCTCTTTTTCTTTTTTCATTTCAGCATCCCCTCCCCTAGAGGAGGTAGAGTGCTGCAGAAGAAACAGCATTCTGAGAGGTTGTATGCCCTAGTTGTTAATAGCTTACGCTTTGGAGGTAAATAGATTTGGGCGGAATCTTTGTTTCACCATTTACTGGTTGTGATTTTGGACAAGTTATCCAACTTCCAGCTCTTGGTTCCCCAGATTCCTTGTCTGTAAAATGGGGCCAATAATTTGACTATGTTATGGGGTGGTTAAAAGCCTTAAATGTAACAGTGCCTGGCACAAATTATGTTTCCAGTAAATGTAGCTTTATTTTTATTTACACTATGGTTTTGCTCTCTCAGAGTTATTTATATTTTAAAGTTGCCAGACTGGAATTAGACACTGTCTGAAAGAATGATTTCTGGTTTGGAGCATTAAGAACTTTCCTACATCTTAACTCTGCTGACTTGATAGTTTGTATAGGTGAGTCTTCAGGGAACATTGGTTACAAATTTGAATACAAAACATAATCTTGATATTTTGGGGGGTATAATATTTCCACAGGCCTTTCATTTTATCCTTGTTTGGTGATTTTTCTTTTGGTTTTGCTTACAGATGATCAGAAGTGCTTTTCCTGATGTCGATTATTTCCTAATAAATATGTGCATCCCTATTCTGTCTGTATTGCCTGGTCAAGGCTTTGACCTTGACTAAAACAAACAAAAATGCAGATATTTTTTCCTGGACTTCAGAGAACACATAAAAATATGTGTCTCATGGGGCTAAGCTGGATCCCTAGAAGTATAATAGCTATGGTTATAGAACAAGGGCTCAGCTTGTTTAGTTTCATCATTTTTGATTTGGGTCATGCATCTGTGGATTAACCTCAGATTCATTTTGTCAGTTTGTAGATTGCCTTTTCTTCCATGCCTAACAATTTATTTCTCACCCATACAGAAAAACTGTGGGCCAAATTGTGTGTTGTGTGCTGGGTTGGGGGGCAAATATGTGGTTACTGGTTGGTTGAACATTTTCCTTTGTGGAAATAATAGAACCAGGAGAATAGGAAAACACACTTAATAGGATGAGGAGTGAAGGATTATGGTGTTCAGGCACTCAAACTGATAACTTTTGTCAAATCTCTTAATATAGAGCCTCAACTATTGCTTTTATGATTCTCACTGTTGATCAAATGAGGTCTGTGAAAGCACTTTGAAAATGGGAATGCATTATAAAATTCTAAGATTATTATTTATCAGCTTAGTGTCAGTTATGGAATGCTCTTGTTAGGTAACATTGAACGTTTTTTTTGCAGCAAGATATTATTGGCATCCTTTCTCCTCTGAAATGGTTCTAACGCTCACTTTGATTTCTAAATGAAGCACATTCTTGAATCTGACAATTATTCAATCTCCAGGCTGTCTTGAGTCCAATATAATTTAAACAAACTAACAAACAAGCTGCAGTCATGAGTAGTCAAAATGGTAGCTGTAAGAGTCTGTCTTTTTGTTCCCGAGATTAAAAGGCCTCATTTTACTCATTTTGGGTTTATAACTATCAGTTCTTCTCTTCCTTCCTGTTTTAAGCAGGAAGTGCTGATAGCATTCTATATAAATAAGTATTTTTTTGATGCTGTCATGAAGAGGATAGTTTTCTTAATTTCTTTTTCAGAGGGTTCATTGTTAGTATATAGAAATACAACTGATTTTTGTATGTTGATTTTGTATTCTACAAATTTACTGAATTTATTAGTTTTAACAGTTTTTTTTTCATGGACTCTTTATGGTTTCCTTTTCAAAAATTTTCTTGTATTTTTAACTTTGATTTTTGGTTCAGGAGTACATTTGCAGGTTTGTTATATAGGTAAATTATATGTCATGGGGATTTGATGTACACATTATTTCATCACTCAGGTGATACGCATGGTACCAGATAGGTTGTTTTATGATCCTTTCCCTCCTCCCACCCTCCACAGTCATGGAGGCCACAGTGTCTGTTGTTCTCTTCTTTCTGTCCATGTGTACTCAATTTTTAACTCCCACTTACAAGTGAGAATATGCAGTATTTGGTTTTCTGTTTCTACCTCATTTCGCTTAGGATTATGACCTCCAGGTCCATCCATATTGCTGCAAAGGACATGATCTCATTCTTTTTTACAGCTGCCATGGCATATATGCACCACATTTTTGTTACCCAGTTTACTGTTGATGGGCATTTACATTGATTCCATGACTCTGCTATTGTGACTCGTGCTGTGATGAACATAGGCATTCATATGTGTAAGGAAGAATGGTTTATATTCTTTATGGAAGAATGGTTTACTTTCCTTTGGGTATATACCCAGTAATGGGATTGCTGGGTCAAATGGTAGTTCTATTTTAAGTTCTTTGGGAAATCTCTACATTGCTTTCCACAATGGCTAAACTAATTTTTATTCCCACCAACAGCATATAAACATTCCCCTTTCCTCACAACCTCACCAACATCTGTTATTTTTTGACTTTTTAATGACAGCCATTCTGACTGGTGTGAGATGGTATCTCATTGTAGTTTTGATTTGCATTTCTCTGATGATTAGTGATGTTGAGCATTTTTTAATATGCTTGTTGGTCATATGTATGTCTTCTTTTGAAGTGTCTACTCATGTCATTTGTCCACCTTTTAATGAAGTTGTTTGTTTTTTGCTTGTACATTCATTTGAGTTTCTCATAGATTCTGGATGTTAGACCTTTGTCAAATGCATATTTTCTCCCATTCTGTAGACTGGCTGTTTACTCTGTTGATAGTTCCTTTTGTTGTGCAGGAGCTCTTTAGTTTAATTAGGTCCCATTTGTCTATTGTTCTTTTTGTTGCAATTACTTTTGGCATCTTCATCATGAAATTTTTGCCAGGCCTATGTCCAGAATGGTATTTCCTAGGTATCTTTCAGGGCTTTTATAGTTTTAGGTCTTATGTTTAAGTCTTTAATCCATATTGAATTGATTTTTGTATATGGATTAAGGAAGGGATCCAGTTTCATTCTTCTGCATATGGGTAGCCAGTTATCCCAGCACAATTTGTTGAATAGGGACTCCTTTTCCCATTGCTTGTTTTTCTCGACTTTGTTGAAGATCAGATAGTTGTAGGTGTGTGGCTTTATTTCTGGGCTCTGTTTTCTGCTCCATTGTTCTATGTGTCTATTTTTGTACCAGTACCATCCTTTTTTGGTCACTGTAGCCTTGTAGTATAATTTGAAGTTGGTAATCTGATGCCTCCAGCTTTGTTCTTCTTGCCTAGGATTGCCTTGGGTTTTGGGCTCTGTTTTGTTTCAATATGAATTTTAAAATGTTTTTTTCTTAATTTTGTGAAGAATGCCACTGGGAATTTGATATGGATAGCATTGAAACTGTTAATTGCTTTGGGCAGTATTGTCATTTTAACAATATTGATTCTTTTTATCCACGAGCATGAAATGTTTTTCCGTTTGTGTCATCTCTGATTTCTTTCAGCAGTGATTTGTAATTATCATTGTAGAGATCTTTCATCTTCCTTGTTAGCTTTATTCCTAGGTATTTTATTCTTTTTGTGGCTATTGTAAATGCGATTGCATTCTGATTTGACTCTCAGCTTGGATGTTGCTGATGTATAGAAATGTTACTGATTTTTGTACATTGATTTTGTATCCTGAAACTTTCCTGAAGTTTGTTTATCAGAGCTAGGAGCTGTGGGGGAGAGACTATAGGGTTTTCTTGGTATAAAATTGTATCATCTGCAAAGAGAGCTAGCTTGACTTCCTCTCTTCCTATTTGGTTACCTTTTATTTCTTTCTCTTGCCTGATTGTTCTGTGCAGGACTTCCAGTATTATGTTGAATAGGAATGGTGACAGTGGGTATCCTTGTCTTGTGCTGGTTCTCAAAGGGAATGCTTCTAGGTTTTGCCCATTCTGTATGATGTTGGCTATGGGTTTGTCATAGTTGGCTCTTATTATTTTGAGGTATGTTTCTTCAATGCCTCCTTTGTAGAGGGTTTTTAACATGAAGGGATGTTGAATTTTATCAAAAGCTTTTTCTGCATCTATTGATATAATAATGCGGTTTTTGTTTTTCATTCTGTTTATGTGGTGAATCACTTTTTTTGATTTGTGTACATTGAACCAATCTTGCATTCCAGGGATAAAACCTACTTGGTCATGGTGGACTAGTTTTTGATGTGCTGGTGGATTTGGTTTCCTAGTATTTTTTTTTTTTTAGTATTTTTACATATATGTTCATCAAGAATCTTGGCCTGAAGTTTTCTTTTGCTGTGTCTCTGCCAGGTTTTGGTATCAGGATGAGGCTGGCCTCACAGAATGAATTAAGAAAGGAGTCCCTCCTTCTCAAATTTTTAGAATAGTTCTAGTAGGAATGGTACCAACTCTTCTTTATACATCTGGTAGAATTCAGCTGTAAATCCATATGGTCCTGGGCATTTTCTGGTTGGCAGGCTTTTTATTACTGACTCAATTTTAGAACTCATTTTTGGTCTATTCAGGTATATAATTTCCTCCTGGTTCAATCTTGAGATCTTGTATCTTTTGAAGAATTTATCCATTTCTTCTAAGTTTTCTATTTTTGTGCATAGAAGTGTTTGTAGCAGTCTCTGAGGGTTTTCTGTATTATTGTAGGGTTGGTGATAATGTCCCTTTTGTCATTTCTGATTATGTTCATTTAGATCTGCTCTCTTTATGCTTTATTAATCTAGCCAGCGTTCTGTAATCTAAAAATCTTATTAATTGTTTCAAGGAAGCAACCTCTGGATTCATTGATCTTTTAAATGGTTTTTTTTTTGCATTTTAATTTCCTTCAGTTCAGCTCTAATTTTGGTTATTTCTTGTCTTCTTCTAGCTTTGGGGTTGGTTTGCTCTTGTTTCCCTGGTTCTTCTATGTGTGATGTTAGGTTGTTAATTTGAGATATTTCTAAATTTTGATGTGAGCATTTAGTGCTATAAAGTTCCCTCTTACTGCTTTGTCTGTGTCCCAGAGATTCTGATGTATTATATCTTTGTTCTCATTAATTTCAAAGAATGTCTTGATTTCTGTCTTAATTTCATTGTTTACCCAAAAGTCATTCTGGAGCAGGTTGTTTAATTTTTATGTAATTGTATGGTTTTGAACAATTTTCTTAGTATTGATTTCTATTTTTATTGCACTGTGGTACGAGAATGTGTTTGGTATGATTTTGTTTTGTTTCGTTTTTTGAATTTGCTGAGGATTGTTTTATGGCCAATTGTGTGGTCGGTTTTAGAGTAGATGCCCTGTGCAGATGAAGAGAATGTATGTTCTGTTGTTTTGAGGTGGAGAGTTCTGTAGATGTCTACTTGGTCTGTTCTGTAGATGTTCATTTGGTCAAATGTTGAGTTCAGATCTTGAATATCTTTGTTAGTTTTCTGCCTCAATGATCTAATACCATCAGTGGGGTGTTCACATCTCCCACAATTATTGTATGGTTATCTAAGTGTCTTTGTTGGTCTCTAAGAACTTGCTTAATGAATCTGGGTGCTCTTGTATTGGGTATATATATATTTAAGATAGTTGGGTGTTCTTATTCAATTGAATCCTTTATCATTATGTAATGCCCTTCTTTGTTTTTTAAAACATTGTTGGTATTAAGTCTGACTTTTTTGAAATTAGAATAGGAACTGCAGCTATTTTCTGTTTTCAATTTGCCTGGTAGATTTTTCTCCATCTCTTTACTTTGAGCCTATGGATGTCACTGCACGTGAGACAGGTCTCTTGTAGATAACATACAGTTGGATCTTGCCTCTTTATTCAGCTTGCCACTCTGTGCCTTTTAATTGGGATATTTAGCCCATTTAAATTAAAGGTTAATATTTATATGTATAGGTTTGATCCTGTTATTGTATTGTTAGCTGGTTATTATACAGACTTGACTGTGTGGTTGCTTTATAGTGTCCATTGTCTTCATACTTAAGTATATTTTTGTGGTGGCAAGTAGCAGTGTTTCCTTTCCATATTTAGCACTCCCCGAAGGACTTTTTATAAGGCAGGTCTGATGATAATGAATGCATTTAGCATTTGCTTGTCTGAAAAGGATCTTACTTCTCCTTCACTTATGATTCTTAGTTTGGCTTGATAGAAAATTCTTGATTGGAATTTCTTTTCTTTAAGAATGCTGAATATGGACCCCAAATCTCTTCTGGCTTATAGAGTTTCTGCTGAGAAGTCCACTGTTAGCCTGATAACGTTCCCTTTGTAGGTAAGCTGCTCCTTCTCTCTAGCTGCTTTTAATATTTTTCCTTTCATATTGACCTTGGAGAATCTGATGACAATGTGTCATGGGAATGGTTATCTTGTATAGTATCTTGCTGGGGTTCTCTGCATTTCCTAGATTTAAATGTTGGCCTCCCTAGTGAGGTTGGGGAAATTTTTGTGGATAGTATCCTCAAGTATATTTCCCAAGTTGCTTGTTTTCTCTCCCTCTCTTTCAGAGATGCCAGTGAGTCATAGATTTTGTCTCTCTACATAATCCCATGTTTCTTAGAAGTTCTCTTTATTCTTCTTTTTGGTTTTTCTTTATTTTTGTCTGATTGAGTTTATTTGAAAAACTGTTCTCCAAGTTCTGATATTGTTTCCTTGGCTTTATTGATTCTCCTGTTAATACTTGCTATTATATAATAAAATTATTGAAGTGAGTATTTCATCTCTATCATCTGTGTTTTTTTTCTTAAAATGATCATCTCATCTTTTATCTCCAGTATTTTTTTGTTTTTATTTCTTAGGTTCTTTGGATTGGGTTTCAACTTTCTCCTGAATGTCAATTATATTTGTTCCTATCCATATTATGAATTCTGACATTTCAGCCATTTCAGCCTGGATAAGAACCATTGCTGGGAAACTAGTGCAGTTTTTGGAGGTAAGAAGACACTGTAGCTTCTTGAGTTGCCAAAGTTCTTGCATATTTTGTTTTCCTCATCTGTATGGGCTTATGTTCCTTGTTTTCGAAGTTTCTGTCTTTTGGATTTTTTTCTTTGAAAAAAGAATTTTCTTTTATTGCAGCATTCTTATCTGGTTTGGGTATGAGGGTAATTCTGGCCTTGTAAAATGAGTTTAAAAATGTTTCCTCCTCTTCAATTTTTTTGGAATATCTTGAGAAAGATTGTTAAAAATTAATCTTTAAATGTTTGATAGAATTTACCAGTAAAGCTATTTGGTCCTAAAGTTTTCTTTATTGGGAAGTTTTTGATTAGCAATTCAATTCAACTTCATTACTCCATATTGGTATGTTCACATTTTCTATTTCTTTATTATTTAGTCTTCATAGGTTTTATGTTTCTAGGAATTGATCCATTTCTTGTAGATTATACAATTTGTTGGCATATAATTGTTTATAGCAATCTCTTATGGTTCTTTCTGTTTATGTGGTAACAGTTATAATGACTCTTTTTTCATTTATAATTTTATTGTCCATTTTCTAATTGGATTGCTATTATTATTATTGAATTTGGAGGATCCTTTATATATTGTTGACACCTGTCCTTTGTCAGATATGTCTTGGCAAATATTTTCTCTAAATCTGTAGCTTGTCTTTTCTTATTCTCAACAGGTTATTTTTCAGAACAAACATTTTTAATTTAATGAGGTCCAATTTATCAATTTTTTCTCCTATGGCTTATGCTTTTGATGTCAACTTTGACATTTTTGCTCAGCCCTGGATCCTGAAGATGATTTCCTATGCTTTTTTCTAAAGATTTTATAGTTCTATGTTTTATATTTAACTCTGTGACCCATTTTGAGTTAATATTTGTATAAGGTGGCCAGGTGTGGTGGCTCACACCTGTAATCCCAGCACTTTGGGAGGCCGAGGTGGGTAGATCATGAGGTCAAGAGATTGAGACCATCCTGGCCAACATGGTGAAGCCCTGTCTTTACTAAAAATACAAAAATTAGCTGGGCGTGGTGGCTTGTGCCTGTAATCCCAGCTACTTGGGAGGCTGAGGCAGTAGAATTGCTTGAACCTGGGAGGCAGAGGTTGCTGTGAGCCGATATCATGTCACTGCACTCCAGCCTGGTAACAGAGCAAGACTCCATCTCAAAAAATATATATATATATATTTGTATAAGGTATGAGGCATTGATGGAGACTATTATTATTATTTTTGCCTATGGATTCTAATTGTTTTGGTGTCATTTGTTGAAAAGGCTATCTTCCTTCACTGACTTGCTTTTGTACCTTTGTCAAAGATCAGGTGGGTATAAGTGTATGGATCTACTTCTAGGTTTTCTGTTTATTTGCAGTGATCTACATGTCTATCCATATGCCAATAGCGCATTGTGATTATTAATCTAGCAATTTATAAATTCATAAAATTGGGTAGAGTGATTGTTTCACTTTATTTTTCTTTTTCAATATTGTCTTAGCTATTCTAAGTCTCATGCCTTTCCACATAAATTTTAGAATAAACTTTTCTCTGTCTACAAAAACCCTTGCTGAGATTTTGATATTGTGTTATGCCTATAGATTAATTTGCAGAAAAATGATATCTTTACTATGTTTAATCATTTACTCCATGAACATAATTTGTCTCTTCATCAATTTCTTTGTTCTTCTTTGGTCAACACTTTGTAATTTTTAGCATAATAGTCCTGCATATGTGTTTTTTGATTCATAACTAAGTATTTCATTTTGTTTGGAGTAATTGTAAATGTGATTGTATTTTAAAATTTGGTTTCATGAGTTCATTGTTAGTATAAAAATATGGTTGATTTTTATATGTTGACCTTGTATCCTATGGGCTTGATAAGCTCACTTATTAGTTCTAGGACCTTTTAAGATTCCTTGTAATTTCTATATAAATAATGTCATCTGCAAGTACGCACAGCCTACTCAAGAAGAACAACCCCAAGACACATAATTGTCAGATTCACCAAGGTTGAAATGAAGGAAAAAATGTTAAGGGCAGCCAGAAAGAAAGGCCGGGTTACACACAAAGAAAAGCCCATCATACTAACAGCAGATCTCTCGGCAGAAACCCTACAAGCCAGAAGAGAGTGGGGACCAATATTCAATATTCTTTAAAAAAATTTTTTTAACCCAGAATTTCATATCAAGCCAAACTAAGCTTCCTAAGTGAAGGAGAAATAAAATCCATTACAGACAAGCAAATGCTGAGAGATTTTGTCACTGCCAGGCCTGCCTTACAAGAGCTCCTGAAGGAAGCACTAAATATGGAAAAGAAAGATGGCACCAGCCACTGTAAAAACCTACCAAATTGTAAAGACCATCGACACTATGAAGAAACTACATCAACTAATGGGCAAAATTACCAGCTAGCATCATAATGACAGGATCAAATTCACACATAACAATATTAACCTTAAATGTAAATGGGCTAAATGCTCCAATTAAAAGACACAGACTGGCAAATTTGATAGAGTCAAAACCCATCGGTGTGCTGTCTTCAGGAGATGCATCTCACATGGAAAGACACACATAGGCTCAAAATAAAGGAATTGAGCAATATTTAACAAGCAAATGGACAGCAAAAAAAAAGCAGGGGTTGCAATTCTAGTCTTTAATAAAACAGACTTTAAACCAACAAAGATCAAAAAAGACAAATAAGGGCATTACATAATGGTAAAGGGATCAATGAAACAAGAAGAGCTAACTATCCTAAACATATATACACCCAATACAGGAGCACCCAGATTCATAAAACAAGTTCTTAGAGACCTACAAAGAGACTTAGAATCCCACACAATAATACTGGGAGAGTTTAACACCCCACTGTCAATATTAGACAGATCAATGAGACAAAAAATTAACAAGGATATTCACAGTTTGAACTCAGCTCTGGATCAAGTGGACCTAACAGACATCTACAGAACTCTCCACCCCAAATCAACAGAATACACATTCTTCTTAGCACCATATCACACTTATTCTAAAATTGACCTCATAATTGGAAGTAAAACACTCCTAAACAAATGCAAAAGAATGGAAATCATAACAAACAGTCTCTCAGACCACAGTGAAATAAAATTAGAACTTAGGATTAAGAAACTCACCCAAAACCACACAACTACCTAGAAACTGAACAACCTGTGCCTTAATGACTACTGGGTAAATATCCAAATGAAGGCAGAAATAAAGATGTTCTTTGAAACCAATTAGGACAAAGACACAATGTACCAGAATCTCTGGGACACAGCTAAAGCAGTGTTTAGAAGGAAATTTAGAACACTAAATGCCCAAAAGAAATCAGGAAAGATCTAAATTTGACACACTAACATTAGAATTAAGGAAACTAGAGAAGCAAGAGCAAACAAATTCAAAAGCTAGCAGAAGACAAGAAATAACTAAGATCAGAGCCGAACTGAAGGAGATAGAGACATGAAAAACCCTTCAAAAAATTAATTAATCCAGGAGGTGGTTTTATGAAAAGATTAACAAAATAGACCACTAGCCAGACTAATAAAGAAGAAGAGAGAGAAGAAACAAATAGACACAATAACAAATGATAAAGGGGATATCGCTACTGATCCCACAGAAATACAAACTACCATCAGAGAATACTATAAACACCTCTACACAAATAAACTAAAAAATCTAGAAGAAATGGATAAATTCCTGGACACATAGACCCTCCCAAGACTGAAACAGAAAGAAGTCGAATCCCTGAATAGACCAATAACAAGTTCTGAAATTGATGCAGTAATTAATAGCCTACGAACCAAAAAAGCCCAGGACCAGATGGATTCACAGCCGAATTGTATGAGAGGTACAAAGACGAGCTGGTACCATTCCTTCTGAAACTATTCCAAAAAATAGACAAAGAGGGACTCCTCCCTACTCATTCCATGAGGCCAGCATTATCCTGATACCAAAACCTGGCAGAAACACAAGAAAAAAAGACCATTTCAGGCCAATATCCCTGATGAACATTGATGTGAAAATCCTTAATAAAATACTGGCAAACCGACCCCAGCAGCACATCAGAAAGCTTATCCACCATGATCAAGCTGGCTTTATCCTTGGGGTGCAAGGCTGGCTCAACATATGCAAATCAATAAATGTAATCCATCAAATAAACAGAACCAATCACAAAAACCACAATTATCTCAATAGATGCAGAAAACCTTTTGATAAAATTTAACACCACTTCATGCTAAAAACTCTCAATAAACTAGGTATTGGTGGAACATATCTCAAAATAATAACAGCTATTCATGACAAACCCACAGCCGATATCATACTGATTGGGCAAAAGCTGGAAGCATTCCCTTTGAAAACTGGTGCAAGACAAGGATGCCCTCTCTCACCACTCTTATTCAACATAGTATTGGAAGTTCTGGCCAGGGCAATCAGGAAGAGAATGAAATAGAATGCATTCAAATAGGAAGAGAGGAAGTCAAATTTTCTCTGTTTGCAGATGACATGATTGTATATTTAGAAAACCCCATCATCTCAGCCCCAAATCTAGTTAAGCTGATAAGCAACTTTGGCAAAGCCTCAGGATACAAAATCAAGGTGCAAAAATTACAAGCATTCCTATGCACCAATAATAGACAATCAGAGAGCCAAATCATGGGTGAACTCCCATTCACAATTGCTACAAAGAGAATAAAATACCTAGGAATATAACTTACAAGGGATGTGAAGGACCTCTTCAAGGAGAACTACAAACCACTGCTCAAGGAAATAAGAGAGGAAACAAACAATTGGAAAAACATTTCACGTACATGGATAGGAAGAATCAATATCGTGAAAATGGTCATACTGTCCAAAGTAATTTATAGATTCAATGCTAACCCCATGAAGCTACTATTGACTTTCTTCACAGAATTAAAAAAAATACTTTAAATTTCATATGGAACCAAAAAATATCCCGCATAGCCAAGACAATCCTAAGCAAAAAGAACAAAGCTGAAGGCATCATGCTACCTGACTTCAAACTATACTACAAGGCTACAGTAACCAAAACAGCATGGTACTTGTACCAAAACAGATATATGGACCAATGGAACAGAAGAGAGGCCTCAGAAACAACACCACACATCTACAACCATCTGATCTTTGACAAATCTGGCAAAAACAAACAATGGGGAAAGGATTCCCTATTTAATAAAAGTTGTTGGGAAAACTGGCTAGCCATATGCAGAAAACTGAAACTGGACCCCTTCTTATGCCATATACAAAAATTAACTTAAGATGATTAAAGACTTAAATGTAGACCTAAAACCATAAGAAAACCTAGGCAATACCATTCAGGATATAGGCATGGGCAAAGACTTCATGACTAAAACACCAAAAGCAATGGCAACAAAGGCCAAAACTGACAAATGGGGTCTAATTAAACTAAAGAGTTTCTGAAGAGCAAAGGAAACTTTCATCAGAGTGAACAGGCAACCTACAGAATGGGAGAAAATTTTTGCAATCTCCCCATCTGGCAAAGGGCTAATATCCAGAATCTACAAGGAACTTGTAAACAAGTTTACAAGAAAAAACAACCCCATCAAAAAGTGGGCAAAGGATATGAACAGACACTTCTCAAAAGAAGACATTTATGTGGCCAACAAACATATGAAAAAAAGCTCATCATCACTGGTCATCAGAGAAATGCAAATCAAAACCACAATGAGATACATCTCACGCCAGTTAGAATGGTGAGTATTAATGCACATTAATTCCTTCCTCAAGCAGGGGACAACAAATGGGTGTTCCTTCTCCTGTGTTCAGGTGTATAATGGCCCCTGCTTTTGCTAGAATGTTTCCCCCTAACAAGGGAGTGGGGCTTTCAGGCATAATTAGAAAAGCATGTGAAAAGAGTGAAGTTCCCCAGTCACAACTTAGTGGCTGTGAGAAGTATCTAATGACTGGCTGTCCTAGGACCCCTCGGATAGTGACAGACCTGGAGGACAGTTTTCCGGGACAGGAGAGTAAGACTGAGAAGCTCACACCAGTGTCCAGGAGACAGTTAAACTCCTGGCCCTCAATGGTCAAGCATACCCGGGGCTCTATGAGGGTGATGGCATGGGCTGGCACTTGCCCTGGGCACCCTCAGTCCTGCTGCTGGATCATCTGGTTAGTGGCTTCTGACTCAGAGGATCTTCATTCCCTGGGGCTGTGGGCCTTCCAGTGATTCTCTTGACATAAGGGGCATAGACGAGAGGGCAGCTTATTTCTATTTGGACAATCTTTTTTAATGTGTCCTTGTAGACAGCACTGGAAGCAAGCCCTTTTAGGCATTCTATTTGCCCAGGCTTTCTGTGTTCCAGAGCCTCCAAAGTCTGCTGCCTGAGGGCCATGACTAAAGCAGTGGCCTTTTTCTTATATCGTTTGTCCCATTCCATCTGCTCCTCCTGATCTCTATTATACAAAACCGAGGTTGTCAAGTTCAATGGGATTTCTAAGTTTTGCTCCGGGCCTAAGGTGGACTTTTGAAGTTTTTTCTAATGTCTGCAGCTGACTGAGTGATAAACTTATCCTTTAAGATTAGTTGGCCTTCAATAGAGTCAGGTGACAGAGAGGTATGCTTCCTCAATGCCTCCCTTAGTCTCTCAAGAAAGGCAGTAGGATTTTCTTCCTTTCCCCGTTATAGTGGACATCACTGAATAATTCATAGTCTTCTTCCTAGTTTTCCTTAGTCCTTCTAGCACACAAGTTAGCAAATGTCTGTGGCACCAATCTCCATGTTCTGATTCTGCGTCCCAGTGAGGGTCTACACTGGGAACTGCCTGCTGGCTTGTGGGGAATTGTTCTCTTTCCTCTGTTGTAATCCTATCATTGACCCGAATGAGATACCAGAGATCGCCAAACTCTCAGGCTGCAGTTATGGTGGCACTTCTCTCATTTGGGGTTAGTGTCTGACCTGGCAGTAACATTATATCTCTCCATGTCAGATCAAAGGATTGTCCTAACCCTTGTAAAACATCAATATAGCCATAAGGGTTATCTGAAAATTTACCTAAGTCTATTTTAATTTGCTTCAAGTCTGACAGGGAAAAAGGTACATACACTCTGACTGGGCTGACTTCTCCAGAATACATCTTAGGGGCGTTTTTGCCTCGTGGGGAATGTTTCCTATCTGAAAAAAAATAACATAGGGAAGCCAGCACCCCTAGTCATTTTCCAATGAGCATTAGTCCTAGAGCGTCCTCTATGGTCCTAATGCTTATTCCTTTCCAGGGTGTGTAACCACCCATGGACCTCTGCTTATCAGATTAGTTACGCTCACTGATGTAGCAGTCCTGTACCTGTTTTCCCCCCTTCACCACAAAGAAAGGGATCTAGGCTGCTGGATTCTAGTGGTCCTTTACCAGTATGCCCAACATTGCCTTTGGCTCAGGGGTGAGTTCTAGAGCTGGGCTGGGTTCCTGAGTATTTCATAATAACACAGTTGCCCCATCAAGATGCATTCCTACAAACAACAGTTCTTATGCAAATTCATTTCAGAAAGGGTGTAGGTAACCTTTTGAGTCAGGATTGAGATAGAGTTTTTTGATTCTGTAAATACTTTGAGGCTTGGCTGAGTGCAAAGAGCTCACACGTTTGAGCAGACCAATTATTAGGCAATTTTCTTAACTGTGTTTCTACGAGTTTCCCTCAATTATTGAATACCCATTTTGTTTTTCTCTCAATCACCTGGGAGGAACCATCTATTGTCCTGTCCTGAAGGGAGTTCCTCCTAGGTCTGCTCGGACCTTTGTATGATATTTAAGATTTAAATCCCCTGTTAGGAAATCCGCTGGGTTAAGGGAGTTTCCAGTGGTTAATGTTAAATTACCCTTTTCTAACAGAATAGCCCCATACTTTAAGATTTTTGAGTTAGTAAGCTACCTTTTTGCTTTTTTGACTTAGGATGGTTCTGAACTGGTGAGGTGTGCTCACAAACAGGTTTCCTCTAAAGGATAATTTTCTACTTTCTTCCATTAGCAAAGCAGTTGCCACTACAGATTTAATGCATTTGGGCCATCTGTGGGTTCCTGGGTTAAGGATTTTTGATAGGAAGGCTACTGGTTGTCAGTGGCCTCAGTGCTTTTGGGCTACACCCTTGTTTACACTGATAACAAAGTGGTATTGGAGTGTTATAGGGTCATGGAGAAAACCTTCAGTTATCAATTATAAGTTTCAAATTTACCCCAGCTTCTAAATAAATAGGGTACACTGTTTTTTCTTTACCACTTCTATCTTTCTCTTTCTCTCTTTCTCCTTTCTGTCTTTGTAGATGGATTTTGGAAACACAGTAGAAAGATGTTTGCTCGTTGCCCCATTTGCCACTATAGGAATATGCACCTCTCTTTTATTTACTCAATTTTCTTTCATCCTGATCTATTATGTTGTTGTAGACCCAGTTCCAGTTGTTAAAGTACTGGGCTATCAGTTCTAAGGCCCTGGCAAGGGTGGTGGGGCATGGGTCCCACATAACTGCCCATTTTGAGAGCTGTATGCCTAAAGTGGGAGGGACACGAGGGACAAGACTCCCTGGGTTCATAGCCTAGGGGCCTAAGGACACAGCATAGAGCTTCCTTAGATCCCTTTGGAGATACAAACTGCTCTAATACTTGGGAGAGGAAGTGAAAGTCTGAAGCATTAGTATCTAGGAGACAGGGATCTCAGGAAGCAGGTTCAGAGGTCAGGAGAATTTTGGGGCTATACTTTCAAGAAATTCATGGTCAGGACCCAGGAGGTATGGGTCAGAAGGAAAGGTAGGGGCACACACATGGGTTACTGTTGAGTAGAGACTCCTGGCTGTGCCATGATCTCAACTGGCTAATGCTGGGACTTCCGGATGACAGCTTTCTGCCTCTAGTCAGCCCTCAGCTTCCCCAGGAAAATTGAAAGCAGAAGCTGGTTCCAGGCAGACCAATGCTCCCAACCCAGAAGGGTTGGGGGTTGTTAGAAAGCCCTTTCCCAGACAGCCTCACACCTGAGTCTTAAGTCCAGTGGCCACACTAATCATTTTTAACTGGCTGACAGGTGCCTAGTATTTTCCTCCAATTCTAAGGAAGGATAGGACAGAATAGCAAGCAAAAGTGGTCCAATATTACTCACCGCTTTGGAGGTCCCTTTGTGGTCACCAAAATGTTACCGGGTGGGGGGTCTTGTTCTTAGGGCTCCCAAGATGGTGGTGGGCCACTTCCAAGATGGCAGCAAGCCTCTTGTTCTCTGACCTGGGGTTCTTGGCCTCACAGATTCCAAGGAATGGAATCTTGGGCCATGTGGTGAGTGTTATAGCTCTCTTAGAAGCCATGGGTCACAGAAGACCACTGTGGAACCCAGCGACTAGTGTTCAGCTTGATTAGGCTGAACCCAGGCACTTAGCTGTGCAGGAACAATGGTGACCCTTTAGCCCAATCGGGAACGGCAATGGGCACCTCGCTGGATCAGGAGCACAGCAGACACCCTGCTGGATCCAGAGGGGAGGAAGTCAGCAGCGGGTCTGCAATGGCAGCAAACAGCAGTGGTGGATGGCGAGCTAAAGGTCAGCTTGAGCTGTAACAAACATGGACCAGAACAGTGTGCAGTTGTAAGATTTAACACAGTGAAAACAGAGCTCCCATAAAATGGGAGGGGACCCAAAGGGGGTTGCCCTGTTGCCTGCACTTTTAAGGTTGTATCCATAAACTTTTGCCCAGACCAATGATGTGAAGCATTTCTCCCATGTTTTCTTTTAGTAGTTTTATACTTTTGGGTCTTATGTTTGAGTTTTTTAATAAATTTTGAGTTTAACATTGGAATGATGAGTAATAAGGGGTATAATTTTATTCTTCTGCATATGGATATCCAGTTTTCTCAGAATCATTCATTGAAGGACTGTCCTTTTCCAAAATTATGTTCTTGGTGCCTTTGTTGAAAATTAGCTGCTTGTAAAAGTGTGAATTTATTTCTGGGTTTTCTAATTGGCTGCTATTTGAATGAAATGTCTTTTTTTCCAACCTTTCAATTTCAACCTGTTTGTGTGTTTGGATCTATAAAATAAATCACATTATTTTTATTTTTTAAATTTAAAAAAATATTTAATTTTTTTGAGTACATAGTAGGTGTATATATTTATGGATTAGTAAATCACTTTTAGATAGGATATATTTGGATTATTTCTTTGTATCCGTTCTGCCCATCTATACATTTTAATTAGAGAGTGTAATTTACTTCTGTTTACTGATAAGAAAAGATTTCTCTCATTTTGCTATTTGTTTTTATGATCTCTCATAATTTTTGGTCATTTTTTATCACTGCCCTTTTTGTATTTAGTTGACTTTTTACTGTACTTTAAAATTTTTCTTCTCACTTTATTATGTAAATATTTTCTCAATATTTTAGTTGTTACATGGAGATTACATTTTACATCCTAAATTTATTACAACCTAGTTTGAATAGACACCAACTTACCATCAATAGAATACAATAACTCTGCACCTATACATCTCCATTATCCCCTTTAAGTTATTGTCATTATTTGCATCTTTACATACTGTGTGCCCAATAAAATATATTTGTAAATGGTCCTTATGCACTTGTCTTTTAAATTATGCAGGAAATAAAAAGTGATTTTACCAACCCCAAATATGATAATATAGGCTTTTGTTATTTATTTATGTAGTATCTTTATTAGTGATATTTATACCTTTGAATAGCTTTGAGTTAATGTCTAGTGTCCTTTCAGTTCAATCTGTAAGGCTCTGGTTAACCCAAATCTCTCAACTTTTGTTTATCTGAGAAAGTCTTAATTTATCCTTTATTCTTGAAGAATAATTTTTACAGATACAGAATTCTTGGTTGACAGTTTTTTTCTTTCAGCATTTTAAAGGTGTCATTTCACTGTCTCTGGCTTCCAGGGTTACTGATGATAAATTAGCAGTTTGCCTTATTGAGGATTCCATGGATGTGACAATTCACTCCTCTTTTGCTGCTTCCAAGTTTTTTTGTATTTTTCTTTTTGCAGTTTGATTATAATGTTTCTTCAAGTTAATCTCTTTGTGTTTATTCTACTTGGAGTTAATCGAGCTTCTTGAATGTGTAGATTCATGTGTTTCATAAATTTAGGAAAGTTTCAGTCTTTTTTTCTAACATAATCTCTCTGTTCTTTCTCTATCTCTTCTTCTAGTGTGTAATGTGTAATGTGTAAAAGTTATATTCTTTTTTTTTTTTTTTGAGATGGAGTCTTCGCTCTGTCGCCCAGACTGGAGTGCAGTGGCACAATCTTGGCTCACTGCAAGCTCTGTCTCCCAGGTTCATGCCATTCTCCTGCCTCAGCCTCCCAAGTAGCTGGGACTACAGGCACCCACCACCACACCTGACTAATTTTTTGTATTTTTTTGTAGAGACGGGGTTTCACCATGTTAGCCAGGACGGTCTCGATCTCCTAAGTTGCTCTGCTTGATGGTGTCCCACAAGTCTTTTAGTCTCTGTTTATTTTTTTAATTCATTTTTCTTTCTGCTTCTCAGACTGCATAATTTCCATTGTCTTACCAAGTTCACTGATTCCTCTACTTGGTCAAATCTGCTGTGAAAACCCTCTGTTAAACTTCTGTAGTGAATTTCTTATTTCAAAATTTCAGAATTTTTATTTTATTCAAAAAAGTAATTTATATTCCTTTATTTATATTCTTAATTGTCATATAGTCATATATTGGTTTCCTGGTTTTCTTCTTTCTCCACAGTTTGCTTCAATTCTTTGATATATATTGTCTTAAGACAATAGAATTAAGATCTTTGTTAGAGTAAGCCAATGTTTGGGCTTCCTTAGTAATAGCTTTTATGAATTTATTTTTTTCTTTGAATAGATTATACTTTCCTTTTTCTTTGTATACTTTGTGATTCTTTTTGTTGAGAAGTGGCCATTTCAATATTATAATATGGTGACTCTGGAAATCAGATTATTCTCCCCAAGATTTTCTATTTTAAATTGTTAAAGTCTGCAATCATCCACTTGTTTATGACTTTTTCCAACTCATTTTGTAGAGATTGTCTTCCCTGAGATCATTGAAGTTTCTGTTCCTTTAAGTTATGTTCAGTTAGTGTTTCGATAGACATCCTTGAATGACAAAAGCAAAATAAAACAAAAATTTCTCTCTCAGGCTTTGCATGTTGTTCAGACACTTGTTTAACACTTAGCTAAAGTGTTTACAACTGTCCCTTATACTTTACTTTCTGTTTGCATGTGAGTAAAGAAATCAGTGAGCAGTGAAAACTTAGGGTCTTCTTGGGGCTTTTCTGATTATATATTATACCTTGGGCACATACATGGCTTTCTAAAATCCTTAGTATTCAGGGGCACTTTAGAATACTCTAATTTCCCAGTGAAGCTCTCTTTCCAGCTTTTCCTTCTGTTTTATGTGCTCTATTATATGTCTTAACTGCTTTATTTTTCTCCAGGTAGTTTCAGGTTTTTATTTGCCTTTTATTCTATAGATGTATGCTTCTTTTCTGCCCTGAGTAAATTCTGAGTTAGGTGAAATAAAGATGAATATCTTTTGTCAGTCTTTAAGGTAGTTCACAAGTAGGTTAGAAGAGACAAATAATTTATGATTAAGGTCTGCTATGTTTCTTCCAGAGTCAGGTAACAGGGTCCCACACTCAGAATAAGACATCCATCTTTAAGACTGTCATTTAGTTGGAGACTGGGTGGAGCAAGGGCAAGTAAAAAATGCAAAGATTTTTTTCCTACTCTTTTTATCTATTTCTTGATTCAGCATTCATTTGGTTGCTGTAGTTTTAACTAGTGTCCAGAGGTTTAATGAAGTTGTTTCTGACAGTTTCTTTTTTTTGTCGGGGGCGGGGGGGGATGTTTTTGTAAAGATACCGTGCATTTGGAGCTGTTTACATTGCCATTTTGCTGATTTCACTCTGAGTCTCTCTTCTTGAACTTTATATTTTTCTTAATTAGTCTACTCTGTACCACCCTCTTTTGATTATCATAACTTGATTCTATGTTATAATATCCAAAGTACCTTAAACAGTTATGCTCTGTGTCATCATTCTGTATTTCCTTCGTAGTACATGCCACGGTTTCTAATTATCTTTCAATTTGTTTACTTGCTAGTTATAGCTTTCCTCACATTGAAATATAATCCCCATGAGAGCAGTCTCCATGTCTGTCTTATCATATTCCATCACATGGCACAGGACCTGTCATGATGCAGGCATGTGATACATTTTGATTAATATGTAAATAAATGGCAACACAAGTCTCGACTTATTATGATTTATTTTCATAATTTATTGGATATTTTTGTAAAATTAAAAAATATTTTTAATTCTTGTGGGTACATAATAGATGTATGTATTTATAGGGTACATGAGATGTTTTGATACAAGCATGCAATGTGAAATAAGCACATCATGGGGAATGAGGTATTCATTTCTCAAGCATTTAGTCTTTATGTTACAAACTATCTAATTACACTCTTTTAGTCACTTAAAAATGTAGAATTAAGTTATTATTGACTGTAGTCACCTTACTGTTCTATCAAAGTGTAGGTCTTATTCATTCTTTCTAACTAATATTTTTGGACCCATTAACCATCTACACCTCACCTACATTCCCCCTACTACTCTTTCCAGCCTTGGAAACTATCGTTCTACTCTCTAGGTCCATGAGTTTAATTGTTTTAATTTTTAGGTAACACAAGTGAGCACATAAAATGTTTGTCTTTCTGTGCCTGGCTTATTTCACTTAACATAATGGTCTCCAGTTCCATCCATGTTGTTGCAAATGACAGGATCTCATTCTTTTTTATGGCTAAATAGTAATCCATTTTGTGTATATGTACCATTTTTTTAATCCATTAATCTGTTGATAGACATGAAGGTTGCTTCAAAATCTTGACTACTGTGAGCAATGCAGCTACTTTCTTTTGTGTATTTGCCCAGCAGTGGGATTGCTGGATTATATGGTAGCTTGATTTTTAGTTTTTTGAGAAACCTTCAAACTGTTCTTTATAGTTATACTAGTTCACATTCCCACCAACAGCATATGAGGGTTCCCTCTTCTCCACATTCTCACCAGAATTTGTTATTGCCTGTCTTTTGGATAAAAGTCATATTAAAATGGTTGAGATGATATCTCATTGTATTTTTGATTTGCATTTCTCTGATGATCAGTGATGTTGAGCACCTTTTCATATGCCCGTTTGCCATTTGTATGTCTTCTTTTGAGAATGTTTCAGCATCAATTGAAATGATCATATAGTTTTACCTTTCATTCTCTTGATATGATGTATCACATTGATTGATTTGAGCATGTTGAATCATTTTGCATCACTGGGGTAAATCCCACTTGGTCATGATAAATGATCTTTCTAATGTACTGTTGAATTTGGATGGCTTTTGTTGTTGTTGTTGTTGTTGTTGTTGAGGATTTTTATGTCAATATTCAGTAGAGATATTGACCTGCAGTTTTTTTAAAAATATATCTTTGGTTTTGGTATAAGGGTAATACTGGCCTCATAGAATGAGAGGAAATATTTGTCCCTTTTCTACTTTTTGGAGTGGTTTTGAATAGAATTGGGATTAGTTCTTTTTTAAATGTTTGGTAGAATTCAGCAGTGAAGCCATCAGGTCCTGGGCTTTTCTTTACTGGTAGACTTTTAATTACAGTTTCATTCTTGTTACTTGTTATTTGCCTGTTCAGGTTGTGAATTTCTTCCTGGTTCACTCTTGGTAGGTTTTATTATCTGGGAATTTATCCATTTTTAAAAATATTTTCCAATTTATTGGAAAACAAACAAGCAAGAAAATAAAAACTCTATGCCTTAACTTCATCTCTTCTCCTTTTAATGTTTTTCTGTTTCCATTTATATCTTATCGTATTTATCATGTCTTGAAAAGTTGTCATTATTTTGATTAGTTCATCATTTAGTCTTTCTACGTAAGATAACTGTAGTTCACACACAAGACTTACAGTGTTACAATATTCTGTGTTTTTCTGTGCATTTACTATTACTAGTGAGTTTTGTACCTTCAGATGGTTCTTTGTTTATAACTAATGCCCTTTATTTTTGATTGAAGTACTCTCTTTAGCACTTATTGTAGGACAGGTATGGTGTTGAAGAAATTCCTTAGCTTTTGTTTCTCTGGGAAAGCCTTTATTTCTCCTTTATATTTGAAGAATATTTTTACTGGATATACTATTTTAGGGTCAAAGTTTTTTTCTTCAGTACTTTAAATATATCATGCCACTCTCTCCTGACCTGTAATGTTTCCACTTAATAGTCTGCTGCCAGACATATTGGAGCACCATTGAATGTTAATTGTTTCTGCTTTTAGAATCCTTTATTTATCCTTGACCTTGGGAGTTTGATTATTAAATGCCTTGAGGTATTCTTCTTTGGGTTAAATCTGTTTGGTGTTCTATAACCTTCTTGTACTCAGATATTAATATCTTTCCCTAGGTTTTTGAAGTTCTCTGTTATTATTCCTTTGAATAAACTTTCTATCCCTACCTATTTCTCTACCTCCTTATAAGGTCATTAACTTTTTTTTTTTTTTTTTTTTTTGACGGAGTTTCACTCTTGTTTACCAGGCTGGAGCACAATGGCGCGATCTCAGCTCACTGCAGCCTCCACCTCCCAGATCCAAGTGATTCTCCTTTCTCAGCCTCCCGAGTAGCTGGGATTACAGGCATGCACCACCACACCTGACTAATTTTGTTTTAGTAGAGACACGGTTTCTCCATGTTGGCCAGGCTGGTCTGGAACTCCTGACCTCAGGTGATCTGCCTGCCTCGGCCTCCCAAAGTGCTGGTATTAAAGCATGAGCCAATGCGCCTGGTAACATTAACTCTTAGAGTTGCCCTTTTGAGGCTATTTTCTAGGTCCTGTAGGCGTGCTTCAGTGTTTTTTTATTCTTTTTTAAAAATCTCTGCTTATGGTGTATTTTCAAATAACCTTTTATTGAACTCACCAATTCTTTCTTCTGTTTGATCAATTCTGTTAATAAAAGACTCTGATGCACTCTTCAGTATGCCAATTGCATTTTTCAGCCCCCAAATTTCTGCCTGATTTTTTTTTTTGAGCCTGAGTCTCACTCTGTCATTCAGGCTAGAGTGCAGTGGTGTGATCTTGGCTTACTGCAACCTTTTCCCCTCTGGGCTCATGCAATCCTCCCAGCTCAACCTCCCAAGTAGCTGGGACCACAGATGCATACCACCACACATGGCTACATTTTTGTATTTTTGGTAAAGGTGGGGTTTCACCATGTTGCCCAGGGTGGTCTCAAACTCCTGAGCTCTAGTAATCCACCCGCATCAGCCTCCCAAAGTGCTGGGATTACAGGCCAGGAGTGAGCCACTGTGCCTGGCCTTCCATTTGATTTTTTAAAATTATCTCAAAATCTTGTTGAACTTACCTGATGGAATTTTGCATTCCTTCTCTGTGTTAACTTGAATTTATCTTAGTTTCCTCAACACAGCTGTTTTGAATTCTGTGTCTAAAAGGTCACATATATCTGTTTCTTTATGATTGGTTCCTGGTGCCTTATTTAGGTCATAGAATGAGGTAATGTTTTCCTGGATAGTCTTGATACTTGTGGATATTCTTCAGTGTCTGGGCATTGAAGAGTTAGGTTAGTTATTTATTGTAGTCTTCACAGCCTGAGCTTGTCTGTACCTGTCCTTTTCGGCAAGGTTTTCCAGATATTTGAAAGGACTTCGGTGTTACGATCTAAGCTACGTTTGCATTAGGGGGCATCCCATGTTCAGTAATGCTGTGGTTCTTACAGACTCATAGAGGTACTGCTTTGATGTTCTTAGACAAGACCAGGGGGAATTTTCTGGATTACTAGACAGAGACTCTTGTTATTTTGTATTACCTTTTCCCAAATATACAGAGTCTCTCTCTGTTCTCATTCACCTAAAGATGGGGGTGAAGTGACACAAGCACCCTTGTGGCCACTACCATTATGACTGCACTGAGTCACCTAAACCCAGCACAGCCCTGAGTCTCACTCAAGGCCTACCATAACAACTCCCTGGCTATTGCCCATGTTTGTTCAAGGCCCTGGGGCTCTACAATCAGAAAGTGGCAAAACCAGTCAGGTTTCTGTCCTTTCCTTCAGGGTTGCAAGTTTCCACAGGCTCTGCATGAATCCAGAGGTACTGTTTGGGAGTCAGGAACTAGAGTAAAAAACCATAGAGGTCTACCTGGTATGGTACTTGTGTTTGGGTGCTGAGCTGCCACCCAAACCACAAGACATTGTCTTTCTTCCTCTTTCCTCCCATTTCCAAAGGCAGAGGAGCCTCACCTCATAGTCACTGTCATCACAGGCTACAGAGAGTAATGCCAGACTACCACTGATGTTCCCTAATGTCCAAAGGCTCTTATGTCAGCTTGTGGTGAATGCTTCCTGGCCTGGCCTGGGATCCACCCTTCAGGTCAGTGGTCTCCCTTTTAGCCAAGAACAGGTCCAGAAATGCCATCCAAGAGTCAAGTCCTGGAATCAGGAATCCCAAGAAACTACTTGGTGCCCTAACCACTGTGGCTGTGCTGGTACCTCATGTGCAGACAAAGTTTCCTTTACTTTTCCCTCTGCTTTTCTCAAACAGAAGAGGTTTTATCCTATTGCCAGCACAGCTGGTAATGTGCTTAGTCTCACCTGAAGCTAGGAATTCTCAGAGATTCATCCAAGGCCCTTGATGGAGTACCTGGGTAGTGCTGCTGGTTATTCAGGGCCAAGGGCTCTTCAATTAGCAGGTGATGACTGCTGCCAGGACTGGGTCCTTTCCTTCAATGCCGTGAATGCTCTTCTGGCCCAGGGTGTGTCTAGAAATTTTGTTTCAGAGGTAGGGCTTGGAAAGGTGCCTCACAACTCTGTTGCCCTATTTTAAAAAGAGATTTAGGTTCCCACACAACAATAGTGGGAATCTTCAACACTGCATTGACAGTATTAGACAGATCATCAAGGCAGAAAATTAGAGATATTCAGGACCTTAACTCAACATTAAACCAAATGGGTTTGATACACCTCTACAAAACTCTCCATTCTAAAACAACAGAATATATGTTCCTCTCATCACAACATGGCACATACTCTAAAACTGACCACACAACAACACATAAAACAATCCTCAGCAAATTAAAAAAAAAAACAAAATTACAGCAAACACATTCTTGGACTACAGTGAAATAAAAATAGAAGGCAAGGCTAAAAAAATGTGCAAAACCATGCAATTACATGGACATTAAACAACATGCTCCTGAATGACTTCTGGGTAAATAATGAAATTAAGGCAGAAATTACAACATACCAGAATCTCTGGGACACAGCTAAGGAAGTGTTAAGAGGGAAAGTTATAGCACTAAATGTCCACATCAAAAAGTAAGGAAGATGTCAAATTAACAACCTAACATCACAACTAAGAGAATTACAGAGGCAAGAGCAAACCAATCCCAAAGCTAGCAGAAGACAAGAAATAATTAAAATCAGAGCTGAACTGAAGGAAACTGAGACACAGAAAATCATCCAAAAGATAAATGAGTCCAAGAGTGGTTTTTTGAAAAAAAAAATAGCATAAATAGCCTGCTAGCTAGACTATTAAAGAAGAGAGGATTCAAATAAAGACAATTAGAAATTACAAGGGGATGTTACCATTGATCCCAGAGAAATAATAACAACAATCAGAAACTACTACAAACACCTCTATGCACACAAATAGAAAACCTAGCAGAGATGAATAAATTCCTGGACACATACACACCCCCCAATACTGAACCAGAAAGAAATTAATTACCTGAAAAGATAAATAACAATAACAAGCTTCAAAATTGAGTTAGTAACAAATAGCCTGCCAGCCAAAAACAAAAACAAAAACAAAAAAGTGTCCAGGACCAGATGAATTCACAGCTGAATTCTACCTGGTGTACAAAGAAGAGTTGGTACAATTCCTAGTGAAACTATTCCAAAAAATTCAGGAGGAGGGACTTCTCTCTAACTTATTCTATGAAGCCAGCATCATTCTGCTACCAAAGCCTGGCAAAGACACAGCAGAAAAAGAAAACATCAGGCCAATATCCTTGATGAACACTGATGTCAAAATTCTCAACAAAATACTTGCATACTGAATGGAGCAGGACATTAAAAAGCTAATGCACCATAATCGAGTAGGCTTCATCCTTGGGATGCAAGGTTGGTTTAACATATGCAAATCAACATGTGATTCATCACATAAACAGAACTAAAGACAAAACCCACATGATTATCTAAATAGATGCAGAAACAGCTTTCAATAAAATTCAACATCCTTTTATGTTGAAAACCCTCCATGAACTAGGTATTGAAGGAACATACCTCAAAATAATGAGAACATTCCATGACAAACCCACAGCCAATATCATACTGAATGGGGAAAAGCTAGCAGCATTTCCTTTGAAAACCAGCACAAGACAAGGATGCTCTTTCTCACTCCTTCTATTCAACATATTATTGGAAGTCTTAGCCAGAGCCATCAGGCAAGAGAAAGAAATAAAGGGCATCCAAGTAGAAAGAGAGGAAGTCAAACTATTCCTGCTTGCAGATGACATGATTCTATATGTAGATAACCCCACAGTATGAGCTCAAAAGCTTCTCTACCTGATAAACAACTTCAGCAAAGTTTCAATGTACACAAATCATTCCTGTACACCAACATCAGCCATTGACATTCATAACAGAACTAGATGAAACTATTTTGAAATTCCTATGGAAACAAAAAAGAGTCTGAATAGCCAAGGCAGTCCTAAGCAAAAAGAACAAAGCTAGAGACATCATGCTACCCAACTTCAAACTATACTACAGGGCTACAGTAATCAAAACAGCATAGCACTGGTACAAGGACAGACACATAGACCAATGGAACAGAAAGATTTTCTATTTAATAAATGGTGCTGGGAGAACTGGCTAGCCATATGCAGAAGATTGAAACTGGACTCCTTCCTTATGCCACATACAAAAATCATCTCAAGGTAGATTAAAAACTTAAATATAAAACCCAAAACTATAAAAATTCTAGAAGAAAACCTGGGCAATGTTCAGGACATAGGCACAGGCAAAAAAATTTATGATTAAAAATGCCAAAAGCAATTTCAAGAAAAGCAAAAATTGACAAATGGAATCTAATTAAACTAAAGAGCTTCTGCACATCAAAAGAAACTATCAACAGAGTAAACATATAAGCTACAGAATGGGAGAAAATTTTTGCAATTTCTCCATCTGACAAAGGTCTAATATCCACCTCTGTAAGAAACTTAAACCATTTTACAAGAAAAAAAAAACCAAACAACTCCATTAAAAAGTGGGCAAAGGATATAAACAGATACTTCTCAAAGAAGACAAGCATGCGGCTAACAAATATGAAAAAAAGCTCTTCAGTGATCACTAGAGAAATGCAAATGAAAGCCACAATGAGATACCATCTCATGCAAGTCAGAATGGCTATTATTAAAAAGTCAAAAAAAAAAAAAAAAACAACTGATGCTGGTGAGTTTGTGGAAAAAAAGGAATGCTAATACACTGTTGATGGAAGGGCAAATGAGTTCAACAGTTGTGGAAGACAGCGTGGTGATTCCTCAAAGACCTAAAGACAGAACTAAAATTTGACCCAGCAATCTTATTACTGGGTATATACCCAAAGGAATAGAAATCATTCCATTATAAAGATACATGCATGCATGTTAATTGTGGCACTATTCACAATAGCAAAGACATGCAATCAACCTAAATGCCCACCAATGATAAACTGGATAAAGAAAATGTGCTACATATATACCATGTGGCCATAAAAAGGAACAAGATCATGCCTTTTGTAGGGGCATGGATGAAGCTGAAGGCTATTATCCTTAGCAAAGTAACGTGGGAACAGAAAACCAAACACTGCGTGTTCTCACTTATAAGTGGGAGCTGAATGATGAGTACACATGGACACATGGCGGGGGCAGCAATACCCACTGGGCCTGGTCATAGGGTGGTGGGCAGAGGAAGAGCATAAGGAAGAATAGCTAATGGATGCTGGGATTAATACCTGAGTGACAAGATGATCTGTGTAGCAAATCACCATGACAAACTTTTACCCATGAAATAAATCTGCACATCCTTCACATGTATCCCTGAACTTAAAATAAATGTTGGAAATAAAAAAATAGAAAATGTATAGTGCTTTGAAGCCAATAAAGCTGGTATCTAGTATTGTTAAAAAGAATCAATATTATTAAAATGGACATACTGCTCAAAGCAATTTACAAATTCAATTCTATTTTTATCAAGCTACCAATGACCTTCTTCACAGAACTAAAAAAAAATTTTTTTAATTTATATGGAACCAAAAAAAAAAAAAAAGAACCCACATAGCCAAGACAGTCCTAAGCAAAAGGAACAAAGCTGGAGGCATCAGATTGCCCAACTTCAAACTATATTACAGGGACACAGTAACCAAAATAGCTTGGTATTGGTACAAAAACAGGCACATAGACCAATGTAACAGAATAGAGAGCCCAGAAATAAGACCACACACCTACAACCATCTGTTCTTTGACAAAGCTGACAAAATCAAGCAATATGGGAAGGATTTACTATTCAATAAATGGTGCTGGGAGAACTGGCTAGCCGTATGCAGAAGATTGAAACTGGACCCCTTCCTTACACCACATACAATAATCAACTCAAGACAAATTAAAGACTTAAATGTAAAACCCAAAAATATAAAAACCCTGGAAGGCAACCTAGGCAATACCATTCTTGACATAGGAATGGGTGAGATTTCATGATAAAGATGCCAAAAGCAATGGAAACAAAAGCAAACATTGACCAATGGGATCCAATTAAACTAAATAGTTTCTGCACAACAAAAGAACCTAACAACAGAGTAAACAGACAGCATGCAAAATGGGAGAAAATATTGGCAAACTATGCATCTGACAAAGGTCTAATATCCTGTATCTAGAAGGAACTTAAACAAATTTACAAGAAATAAACAAACGCATTAAACACTGGACAAAGGAAATAAACACTTTTCAAAAGAAGGCATACATGTGGTCAAAAAGCATATGAAAAAAAACTCAATATCACTGATAATTAGAGAAATGCCAATCAAAACCACAATAAGATATCATCTAATGCCAGTCAGAATGGCTATTATTAAAAAGTCAAAAAATAACAGATGCTGGAGAAGTTGTGGAGAAGAGGGAACACTTATACACTGTTGGTGGGAGTGTAAATTACTTTAACTATTATGAAAAGCAGTGTGGCAATTCCTCAAAGAGCTAAAAACAGAACTACCATTTGACTCAGCAATCCCATTACTGGGTATATACTCAAAGGAATAGAAATCATTCTACCATAAAGGCATATGCACATGAATGTTAATTGCAGCACTATTCACAATAGCAAAGACATGGAATCAACCTAAATGCCTATCAGTGACAGACTGGATAAATAAAAATATGTAGATATACATCATGGAATACTATGCAGCCCAGAAAAAGAATAAGATAATGTCGTTTGCCAGAACTTGCATGGAGCTGGAGGTCATTATCCTTAGCAAACTAATGCAGGAAGAGAAAACCAAATATCACATGTTCTCACTTATAAGTGGTACCTAAATGCTGAGAACTCATGAGAACTTACTTTGTGTCACAACAACAGACACTGGGGCTTACTTAAGGGTGGAGAGTGGGAGGAGGAAGAGAGTCAGAAAACATAACTATTGGGTACTATACTTAGTACCTGTGTGACAAAATAATCTGTACAATAAACTCCCATGACACAGGTTTACCTATATAACAAACCTGCACATGTACCCCCGAACATAAAATAAAAGTAAAAAGAAAAAGAATAGGTTTCAGGTGTCTTTGTATTTCTAGTGCAGTCCCTGGCACATAGTAAGTAATCTAATAATTTGAGTTAAGGTAATGAAGCTCAATTTTAAGTATCAGCCAGCAGGTAGAAGAGAATTTGGGAGGGTTTGGGATCCTGTTTAGTAGTCTTACCTATTTTGTTAATAATAATGATTGTAAGCTTAAGATAATAATCTTGGCACAAGTTTTCACACATATTATTTATATAGTGACCTAGCAGTCCCATAAAAGCACTAGAAATAGTCCTCCTGTTTTCCTGGAAAAATGAGGAGCTAGGAAATTTTAGCACACCACTTATAAGTGAGGCTGACTGACAAGGTAAATGGAGAGGAATCTATTTTAGAGAGTCTGAAATCAATTTTATTTCACCAATGTAATCCCATTATGATCATCTGCCTGGACTCTTATCTTCCTCTCCCTCTTTCTCATCCTCTCCTCAGGTACTTCTCTGACAGTCTTATTGTTTAGTTTCTATTCTTTTACTGTTTTTGATGATTCCCTCACTGTTTGCCTGGACAGCAGCTGATTTCAACCCTGGCTCTTAGAATAGTATTTTCTCATTAGGCCAAGGTTTTCTTGACTATGTCAGTCTGTGGACTTGTTCTGGACTCTAATTGGTATGGGAGGTTTTTTCCTTGCCCACATTCAATTATTCACCAGTCTGAGAAAGGCTCCTCTCCCCAATGTTTTCAATTCTTCCTCTCCCATCTTGATTGCTCATTGCTGTGTTCATCTACATTTTATTGCTACACATCTACCCTTCTAAACAAAAGGTATCAAAAGGCAGTGAGGAAAATCTTGACATCATGACATGCGAAGGAAATCTTTACACTATCCATTACAACACTTACCACATTGTGTTTTAATGGCTAGTATTCATGTCTTTCTTCCCCATGGGATTGTGAACTTAAGGGAAGGTGCTGTGGTTTTGTCTTGTATCCTTGCTACCTTACTCAGTGGTTGGTACATAGTAGGCTTTCAGTGTGTAACTTAAGTGAACAAAGCAACCAAAATATTCAATATCAGGGTGGGTATATAAAACTCAAGACAATAGAGTCTCTTATTTTATCAAAGACCAATAGAGTCTCTTATTTTATCAAAGGCCATTTGCCCAACATATGTCTGAACAGACAAAGCCTTTTTTGAAAAAAGCAGGTTATATTTCACAAACTTACTTAGATGCAGAGGAACTTTTTTTATTTTTTAAACTTCAACTTCTATTTTAGATACAGGGGGACATATGCAAATTTTTTACATGGGAATATTGCGTGATGCTGAAGTTTGGGGTATGGATCCCATCACCCAGGTAGTGAGCATAGTACCCAATAGATTTTTTTTTAAACACACGCCTTCTCTCCACCTCCTGATGGTCCACAGTGTCTACCATTAAGAAGGATTTAAAATAAATCATACTTAATGAGTTTGTCCAAAATTTTGATAAGTCACATTAAGATGTTTTCTTGTGAAAGTCACTCACAAGGGTCAAGAGTTATGTAATTATTTATTATTGTAAAACACGTGCTTAAGTTAGTGTGGTAAACTTTAAGCTTCTAAACAATTCTTCAATCTTCAAAAACAAGAAAGTTTATTGGGCACAGTTTAGAGATAAAAGAGTTTAGACTTGAATGAAGTTTGGAGATGCAAAGAGTCTCAAGAAATAAAACAGATGCAGTAAGTTACATAAAGTTGTTATATTCATTTTTACTATTTATGATTTAAAAATATTTTTATAATAAAAATAGCATGTTTATGACTTTTTAAAAATGGCATTGTTTTATTATATAAGACATATGTGTTCATACAGAAAAATCTAAATGTAAAAAGAACAAAAATCACTTGCAGAAATATCACACCAAAATAATTGTGATTAAGAACTTTCTCTAAATAAATCTACACTACTGTTCCGTTATATTCTCAACAAATTCTTAGCCTTTTCTTATGTATCCTTGTGTATCCTGGAGGTGAGTGAATGTTGGCAGAATCAAGTTTTGGCCACTCCTTGTGCAAGCCTTTCTAGAATACCTAGCACTTCATTGCCCATTACATTGTTTTTGGCCTTGGACCTTCTATTAAACTGACACAACAGCGAAAGTCAGATTTAGCATCCTGTTACATTAGCTATTACTTAGTGGGTCTTACTAAATACCAAGAATTAATATCATTTGCTTTACACATATGAACTCATTCAATCCCCAAAGCAATCTAAACAGAGTACAATTTTTACCCTCATTTTACAGTTGAGAAAACTGAAGGAAAGAGGTTAAGTAACTTGCCTAAGTTTGCTCAGTTAGTTAGTGATGTAGCTGGGAATTGAATCCAGGGGGTCTGCTTCCAAAGTTTACAACAAATGTGCTGTGTATGCCTACCATAGAATTATATGTTTTTTCTGTTAGGCCAAGCAAAATGGCTTTATGTTGGTTATAAATTATTGGTATTAAAATGCAACCAGACTCTTGAAGCACTGTGGTCATTTTAAAGGCCTCTTCTCATCTTTGTATTCAAGCTGTCCTTTAGAAGTTTCTTGCAAGGTCAAGAATAATTACTAGTATTTACTGAGTAAATATGGTCACTTGTATTAAAAAATGTATTAACGTATAAAAGTAGTGCATGGACATGTTAAGAAATAATTCAAACTAAATTAAAGATATTAAAAAGCAAAAGTCTCTTCCCTCCCTAGCCCTATTGTAAAGTTTCTTGTCTTTCCAGAAATAGTCTATGCATTCATAAGCATGTGTAAGAATGTGTGCAAGTATGTGCATGTGTGTGTGTTTAGCAAGTGGCACTACACTTCACAGTCTGTACCTTGGCTTTTTTTACATATATTTTGACCATCTTTCCATATTTTATGTAAACAACTAAACTCTTTTTTGCATATCTTTATTTTTATTTTATTTCAATAGGTTTTTGGGAAACAGGTAGTGTTTGTTTACATGAATAAGTTCTTCTGTGGTGATTTCTGAGATTCTGGTGCACCCATGATCCAAGCAGATTTGTAGCCTGGGAGCAATAAACTATACCACAGTAGGCGATTCCATCCAAGTTTGTGTAAATATACTTTATAATGTTTGAACAATGATGAATTACCTAACAATGCATTTTTCAGAATGGCATCCCCATCATTAAGTGATGCATAATTGTATCTTTTAAATGATGAGATAATATGCTTTCTACATTTTTTGTGTTAGGATGTCCTAACTTTTATGAAATAATGGTAAATAGTAGAAGTAGTTCACTTTTTATTGTTCTTACTTGGTGAAATAAAAATCTGGCCATCAGTGGCCAATCCCTATCTCCATCCAACTTTTTTTCTGAAAATTTTATTGGTTCATGAAATTCAAAATTTTGGAACCATTTGCCTTGTACAGACATTTTCAGGCCTTGAACTAGTGAGGGATGGCAGGTAAGAGGGAGAAGGAGCATTTGTATGGGATGTTTCCACTATTACTCAAGTCACATTGCACATAGGCACCTATATATGGTATACGTTGTTGACCTTGTTTGGTGGTGTCACTGAATTTAAATATTAAAAAATGACATTACTGATACCATAGTAATCCCATTTTGGCTAAACCTGCGTTGTGTTATATTCTTGTGGTATAAAAACCAATGGAAGAAAACCAAATGGATTTTAGAGCTGCCAAAAACCAGTTTGCTAGTTTTGTTTTTCTAAATTAGGGACTGCTGTGTTGTACAAATAAAATACATACTTTTCAAGGTTTAGTATTTAATAACTTTTTGCAAGTTAAACTTTTATTCATCTAGATATTGCATAGTTTGTCCCCGTCCTCATGGAAATTATATATTCATGACAGAAAAAATTGTTCTTTGTGAGGGAAAGGCTGTACTTGTTCACTAAGTGTATGGTTTCAGAAGACACACCGTGGGAGAGGGAAAGATACACTCACCAAGCCAGCCAAACTATGGAATTTTAGAGCTGAAAATGACTGTGTATTAAATTCTTTTATTTTTAGATAAAGAGGGAAAAAAGGCTCAGAAAAGAATGTGATTTCCACAAAGTAAGTCAGTTTGTCAAGAGTAGAGACAGGACTAGGACCTTATTTCAGGCCCGCCTTCCTTCTATTTTGTGTCCACTTTTACAGATTGATTCAGATAAGCCATGCAATGATGTATTGAGGCTGAGTCATCATCAGGTCCTTATAAACCCACAAATAAAAGATAGAGTCAAAAGAGGCCCTGTTTCTACTATCACTGAAGACATTTTGGTATTTAATATTTATCTTAATCTACTGGTATGCGACTGCTAGGGTGTCTGGGGTCTGATTCTACTAACCCTGAGGAAAGCATAGAACTTTCATCACCTCAAACCTAGTTGAAAATTGGTCCCAGAGATAAAATATTTCATGTCTCAGCATCACCAGTGTAGAACAGAAATTAATACAGGATCCTGACCAGCAGAGGACAAGAGCCAGTATACTTTTGGTAAAATAAAAGTGGTAACTCCTAACTTTTTGTAGAGCAAATTAAAATGAGGTGAATATAAATTAAGGAAAGAACTATAGATTGCCTAGAAAAAAGGTATCTCTAAAGGGTATTCATTTTCTTTCTTTTTCCATTTACACTCATAATTTCAGAGTTTGGTGATGTGAGAAAATATAAAAATATAAGATAATAACTATTATTCTTTTTTCCTTTTTTTAATACACTTTAAGTTCTGGGATTCATGTGCAGAACGTGCAGGTTTGTTACATAGGTATACATGTGCTATGGTGGTTTGCTGTACCCATCAACCCGTCATCTACATTAGGCATTTCTACTAATGCTATCCCTCCCCTAGCCCCCAACCCCTCGATAGGCCCTCGTATGTGATGTTCCCCTCCCTGTACCCATATGTTCTCATTGTTCAACTCCCACTTATGAGTGAGAACATGCGGTGTTTGGTTTTCTGTTCCTGTGTTAGTTTGCTGAGAATGATGGTTTCCAGCTTCATCCATGTCCCATGAACTCACTCTATTTTATGGCTGCATGGTATTCCATGGTGTATATGTGTCACATTTCTTTTTATCCAGTGTATCATTGATAGGCATTTAGGTTGGTTCCAAGTCTTTGCTATGGTAAATAGTGCTGCAGTAAACATATGTGTGCTTGTCTTTATAGTAGAAAGATTTGTAATCCTTTGGATATATATCTAGTAATGGGATTGCTGGGTCAAATGGTATTTCTGGTTCTAGATCCTTGAGGAATCGCCACACTGTCTTCCACGATGGTTGAATTAATTTACACTCCCACCAACAATGTAAAAGCATTCCTATTTCTCCACATCCTCTCCAGCAATTGTTGTTTCCTGACATTTTAATGATCACCATTCTAACTACCATGAGATGGTATCTCATTGTGGTTTTGATTTGCAGTTCTCCGATGACCAGTGATGATGGGCTTTTTTATACATGTTTGTTGGCCGCATAAATATCTTCTTTTGAGAAGTGTCTGTTCATATCCTTTGCCCACTTTTTGATGGGGTTGCTTGTTTTTTTCTTGTAAATTTGTTTAAGTTCCTTGTAGATTCTGGATATTAGCCCTTTGACAGATGGATAGATTGCAAAAATTTTCTCCCATTCTGTAAGTTGTCTGTTCACTCTGATGATAGCTCCTCTTGCTGTGCAGAAGCTCCTTAGTTCAATTAGATCCCATTTGTCAATTCTGGCTTTTGTTGCAATTGCTTTTGGTGTTTTAGTTATGAAGTCTTTGCCCATGCCCATGTCCTGAATGGTATTGCCTAAGTTTTCTTCCAGGGTTTTTATGATTTTACATCTTACATTTAAATCTATCTTTGATCCATCTTGAGTTAATTTTTGTATAAGGTATAATAAGGAAGGGGTACTGTTTCAGTTTTCTGCATATGGCTAGCCAGTTTTCCCAGCACCATTTATTAAATAGAGAATCCTTTTCCCATTGCTTATTTTTGTCAGGTTTCTCAAAGATCAGATGGTTAAAGATGTGTGGTGTTATTTCTGAGGCCTCTCTTCTGTTCCATTGGTCTATATATCTGTTTTGGTAAAAAGTACCATGCTGTTTTGGTTACTGTAGCCTTGTAGTATAGTTTGAGGTCACATAGCGTGATGCCTCCAGCTTTGTTCTTTTTGCTTAGGATTGTCTTGGCTATATGGGCTTTTTATGGTTTCATATAAAATTTAAAGTAGTTTTTTTCTAATTCTGTGAATAAAGTCAATGGTAGCTTGATGAGAATAGCATTGAATCTATAAATTACTTTGGGCAGTATGTCCATTTGCACGATATTGATTTTTCCTATCCATGAGCATGGAATGTTTTTCCATTTGTTTGTGTCCTCTCTTATTTCCTTGAGCAGTGGTTTATAGTTCTCCTTGAAGAGGTTCTTCACATCCCTTGTAAGTTGTATTCCTAGGTATTTTATTCTCTTTGTAGCAGTTGTGAATGGGAGTTTGCTCATGATTTGGCTCTCTGATGGTCTATTATTGGTGTATAGAAGTGCTTGTGATTTTGCACACAGATTTTGTATCCTGAGACTTTGCTGAAGTTCCTTATCAGCTCAAGGAGTTTTGGGGCTGAGATGATGTGGTTTTCTAAATATACAATCATGTCATCTGCAAACAGATAATTTGACTTCCTCTCTTCCTATTTGAACACATTTTATTTCATTCTTCTGCCTGATTTCCCTGGCCAGAACTTCCAATACTATGTTGAATAGGAGTGGTAAGAGAGGGCATCCTTGCCTTGTGCCAGTTTTCCAATGAAATGCTTCCAGCTTTTGCCCAATCAGTATGATATTGGCTGTGGGTTTGTCATGAATAGCTTTTATTATTTTGAAATGTGTTTCATCAATATCTCATTTATTGAGTGTTTTTAACATGAAGGGGTTTGTCATTGGTTCTGTTTATGTGATGGATTATGTTTATAGATGTGCATATGTTGTACCAGCCTTGCATCCCAGTGATGAGTTGGTCATGGAGGATAAGCTTTTTAATATGCTGCTAGATTCGGTTTGCCAGTATTTTATTGAGGATTTTCACATTGATGTTCATCAGGGATATTGGCCAGAAATTTTCTTTTTTTGTTGTGTCTCTGCCAGATTTTGGTATCAGGATGATGCTGGCCTCATAGAATGAGTTAGGGTGGAGTCCCTCTTTTTCTATTGTTTGGAATAGTTTCAGAAGGAATGGTGCCAGCTCGTCTTTGTACCTCTGTTACAATTTGGCTGTGAATCCATCTGGTCCTGGGCTTTTCTTGGTTCATAGGCTATTAATTACTGCCTCAATTTCAGAATTTGTTTTTGGTCTATTCAGGGATTCGACTTCTTTCTGGTTCAGTCTTGGGAGGGTCTGTGTGTCCAGGAATTTATCCATTTCTTCTAGATTTTTTAGTTTATTTGTGTAGAGGTGTTTATAGTATTCTCTAATCGTAGGTTGTATTTCTGTGGGATCAGTGGTGGTATCCCCTTTATCATTTGTTATTGTGTCTATTTAATTCTTCTCTCTTTTCTTCTTTATTAGTCTGGCTAGTGGTCTATCTATTTTGTTAATCTTTTCAAAAAACCAGCTCCTAGATTCATTGATTTTTTGAAGGGTTTTTCATGTCTCTATCTCCTTCAGTTCGGCTCTGATCTTAGTTATTTCTTGTCTTCTGCTAGCTTTTGAATTTGTTTGCTCTTGCTTCTCTAGTTCTTTTAATTGTGATGTTAGGGTGTCGATTTTAGATCTTTCCCACTTTCTCCTGTGGGCATTTAGTGCTATAAATTTCCCTCTAAACACTGCTTTAGTTGTGTCCCAGAGATTCTGGTACATGGTGCCTTTGTTTTCATTGGTTTCAAAGAACTTATTTATGTCTGTCTTAATTTTGTTATTTGCCCAATAGTCATTAAGGAGCAGGTGTTTCAGTTTCCGTGTAGTTGTGCAGTTTTGAGTGAGTTTCTTAATCCTGAGTTCTAATTTGACTGCACTGTGGTCTGAGAGACTGTTTGTTATGATTTCCTTTCTTTTTCATTTGCTGAGGAGTGTTTTACCTCCAGTTATGTGGTTGATTTTAGAATAAGTGTGATGTGGGGCTGAGAGGAATGTGTATTCTGTTGATTTGGGGTGGAGAGTTCTATAGATGTCTATTAGGTCCACTTCATCCAGAGCTGAGTTTGAGCCCCGAATAGACTTATTAATTTTCTGTCTCATTGATCTTTCTAATATTAACAGTGGGGTGTTAATGTCTCCCACTATTATTGTGTGGGAGTCTAAATCTTTTTGTAGGTCTCTAAGAACTTGTTATGAATCTGGGTGCTCCTGTATTAGGTGCATATATGTTTAGGATAGTTAGCTCTTCTTGTTGCATTGATCCCTTTACCCTTATGTAATGCCCTTCTTTGTCTTTTTTGAACTTTGTTTAAATTCTGTTTATCAGAGACTAGGGTTGCAACCCCTGCTTTTTTTGCTTTCCATTTGGTTGGTAAATCTTTCTCCATCCCTTTATTTTGAGCCTATGTGTGTCTTTGCATGTGAGATAATGTCTCTTGAATACAGCACACTGGTGGGTCTTGACTCTTAATCCAATTTGCCAGTCTGTGTCTTTTAATTGGGACATTTAGCTCATTTACATTTTAGGTTAATATTGTTATGTGTGAATTTGATTCTGTCATTATAATGCTAGCTGTTTATTTTGTCCATTAGTAGATGCAGTTTCTTCATAGTGTCGATAGTCTTTATATTTTGGATTGTTTTTGCAGTGGCTGGTACCGGTTTTTTTTTTTTTTTTCCATATTTAGTGCTTCCTTCAGGACCTCTTGTAAGGCAGGCCTGGTGGTGACAAAATCCCTCAGCATTTGCTTGTCTGTAGAGGATTTTATTTCTCCTTCACATAAATCTTAGTTTGGCTGGATATAAAATTCTGGGTTCAAAATTCTTTTCTTTAAGAATGTTAAATATTGGTCCCCACTCTCTTCTGGCTTGTAGGGTTTCTGCAGAGAGATCTGCTGTTAGTCTGATGTGCTTCCTTCTGGGGGTAACCCGACCTTTCTCTCTGGCTGCCCTTAACATTTTTTCCTACATTTCAACCTTGGCAAATCTGACGATTATGTGTCTTGGGGTTGCTCTTCTTGAGGAGTATCTTTGTCATTGTCTCTGTATTTCCTGAATTTGAATGTTTGCCTGTCTTGCTAGGTTGGGGAAGTTCTCCTGGATAATATCCTGATGTGTGTTTTCTAACTGGGTTCCATTCTCCTTGTCACTTTCAGGTACACCAATCAAACATAGGTTTTGTGTTTTCACGTAGTCCCATATTTCTTGGAGGCTTTGTTCATTCCTTTTCACTCTTTTTTCTCTAATCTTGTCTTCATGCTTTATTTCATTAAGTTGATCTTCAATCTCTGAGATCCTTTCTTCCACTTGATTGATTTGGCTATTAATACTTCTGTATGCTTCATGAACTTCCCATGCTGTGTTTTTCAGCTCCATCAGGTATGCCCACAACTGCTGTCTAGTTCACAGGAAGCCATAGAGGTATAACAAAACAAATGAAATAAAAACAAACAAACATTGACAACTAAACCTTTACCTCATTTGCTGTAGTAGGGGAAATACTTTCTTTTTTCTTTCGTATTTTCCTAGGCAATATTCTTATGCAGTTTCCTTGGATATATGCTGATTTGGAATTTAGACATCTTCATAATGGGTAATAAATATTTCGAGCAAAGGAGTGGGGGTAAGAATATCTCCTGGTTTGGAGAGAAAGTAGAGAGAGGCAGTGTGTTTACAAACAAAAATAGGACCAGGAATAGTCAGGATGCATCATACTGTTCTGTAAGCAAAGGATAGAAAGGTTAGTGGGGCCTAGAATCAACCACCAAGAACATTTAATATCTACTGTGAGCAAGATACTCTGCTATGTACTGAATCTGAAGCTCAGGGAGGGTGTGTGTGTGTGTGTGTGTGTGTGTGTGTGTGTGTGTATGTACCTGCATGTGTATGTGTTTATTTCTGTCTGGGTGGTCATGGAAATTAGAGATAGCTCAATTTGAATGAAGGGAAAAGTAAGGGAGGACTAAACAAAAAATAAATACTTATGTATAAGATTTGGCTTGACTTGAATAATGAAGCAAAGAATTAAAAACCAACCTCTCTATTTAAGATTTACCTTGTCAACTTAGGTGTGGCATTCTTTTGTTTTTGTAATATTCAAATTCCAAACATCTAACTTGGCATTTTGGTTACATGTTTTAAAGCTCTTTTACCTAGATTGTTTGTTCCCCATAACCGTCAATGGTGGCCTATTGACCAGAGTGTCTTTCTGGATTTCCATGGGTTAAAGTACATTCTCCCCAGTATCTACTAAGGCAGTAGTCTCATTGCCAAAGTTAGCATTTAGTGTAACCAAAATGCCAAGGTCAGATATTTGGATTTTGAATATTTTAAAATTTTAATTTCATTTTAACATCTTAATTTCATTTTAACATTTTAAAATTTTAATTTGAGGCATAATTTACAGGCTATATATTATCACAAAGTTCTGTGAGTGCTATGTGTTTTTAAAATCATATAATTATGTAAATATCACCAAAATCAACATATGGAATAATCCCATCATCTCCTTCTCCTTGGCTTCCCTTGTGCTGCTCCTAGTCCCAGCTTCTGGCAGTCACTGATATTTTCTGTCAATACAGTTCTTCCTTTTCCAGAATGACAATAGAATCATAAAGTAAGTTTGTAGTCTTTTACTGTAGCTTTTTTACTCAATATAAATATTTTAAGATACATCCATGTTGCTGCATAGTTCAGTAGTGAATTCTTTTTATTTTTCTATATTACTTCATTGTATAGATAGTCAGAGTTTGTTTAATCCATTTACCAGCTAAAAGACATCTGGGTTGTTTCCAGTGTTTTTTTCTTTTGCCTCCTCTCACTGTGTATTTTCAACTAGCCTGTGTTAGAGCTCACTAATTCTTTCTTCTGCTTGATCATTTCTGCTTGTTGAGAGGCTCTGGTACATTCTTCAGAATGTCAATTAAATTTTTCAGCTCTAGTATTTCTACTTGGTTTAAAAAATATTTTAATCTCTTAAAAATATATCTCATAGGATTCTGAATTACTTCTCTGTGTTATCTTAAATTTCACTGAGCTTCCTCAAAACAGCTATTTTGAATTCTCTCTCTGAGAGTTCACATATTTCTATTCACTCCACAACTGGTCACTGGTGCCTAGTTAGTTTCTTTGGTGAGGTCATGTTTTCTTGGGTGGTCTTGATACATGTGGATGCTCGTTCTGCAGTTATGAGGAAGATTTGACCTAATAAAGATTTATCAGGAGGATAAGGTGCTTGTGGACTACTGCATGAGTACAGGGATGCCCCAAATACACCAGTGAGTTTAGAGTGATTTTTAACTGGTGTCCTCCATATAAGGAGAAGACTACTGCTTTAGTAGATACTAGGGAGAATGTACTTTAACCCATGGAAATCCAGAAAGACACTCTGGTCAATAGGCAGCCATTGATGGTTATGGGGAACAAACAATCCAGGTAAAAGAATTTTAAAACATCTAGGTATTGAGAAAGATGCCCTTACTCCATATATAATGTTTATTTCCCCCATTCCAGACAATATTTTAGGCATGGATATTCTGTTAGGAAAGACTTTGAAAACTTCAGTAGGAGAATTCAGATCAAAGGTGTGTGTAGTAGTAAAGGCTATTCCCAGGGGAGAGGTAAAATGGAAAACTGCACAATCTCCTGCCCCTAGGTGGGTTGTCAACCTTAAATGATACAAATTGCCTGAGGGGCATGTTGAAATAAGTGCAGCTATTGAGGATCTCCAGGGAATTCCTCCAGATCTTACCAAAGACCACCAAAACAGTACCGCTATGAGTCTGAAAAAGTAATGGCATTATTTTGGGGGTGCCCCCTAATGCAGATATGGCTGCAATGATCAAAGACTTAGATCAGAACACTCAATCCCTAAATCACAACACTCAACTCCCTTTGAATACTTGGAAAGCCTTCCCAAGAAGGACAGGTAAAAACAAGCCCAGATGGTGAAAATTACAATAAATACTGAACTCCTCAATGCCTAGACATTTATGAACATTCATTTCACATAGAAATGGCTGGTTACCCTGGAATTTCTCTCACAGATGCTTCATACCCTTTGTCCATTTCTTGGTCTCTTGGCTACTGGCTAGCTCACTTGTGGTGAGCAAATACATGCAAGCTTACACCCAAGGTCTGAGGGAGCTGAGAGGTTAAAGAAAGAGGCTTTACAAATCCAGTTTCTCAGAAAGAAACATTTTAATAGGGACTCAGGAACAGAAGCAATGCCTCTGGTGGCCAAAAGAAAATTTATCTCTGCATCTGCCTTCTAGAAAGTATTTATATAGCAAACTCTTTTTTTCTTGGTAAAATGTGTGCAGCTGGTTATGTCTCAGACCTTCTTGTGAAACTTGTGAACCATGAGGAAGTTAGATAAGCATCTTTATGAGGGGTTATTTATGCTACAGTATTTTTTCTTGATCTTGCTGTGAAAATGCCTTGGTATGTAGGAGTCAAACATTAGTCATTATGTTAGTTTCATTTCAAGATGGCATTACTCTTGCCATGCAACAGGCTGTTTTCCTATAATAATTTTTTATTTAATATTTTGAATATAAAATAGAGTCACATAGTTAGAAGTCAAATGACATAAAAAGGCTAATAGTGACATGTGTTTCTTTTTCTTATCACTGTTCCTTATTCATTCAGCTTCCAATTCTTTGCTCTTCCACAGATAAGTACGTTACTTAGATCTTTTGTGCATATTTTCACAGTTTAAAAAATTTAAATAAAAGCAAGTATAAAATTATATTTTAATTGTATATCCTCTTTTAAAACAAAATGTAGCATTCTAAATATGATGTCTTGCACATTTTTTTCTTCATGCCACAATGTATCTTATAGATCTTTTTTATAGTAATACCTAGAGGGCTTTCTCATCTATTTTTATGTTTTGTTTATTCCATTGTATAAATGTATCATAACTTATTTAAATAGTCTTATAGTTGCAGACCATTATTTTCAATCTTTAGATATTGCAAATAATGCTTCATAACAATATAATGTTATAGTGATCTATTATTTTATTCTATAGATATAGCACCATTTATTTAAACAGTCCTATACTGTTGAACAGTTAGACTCTTTCCAATATTATACATAATGCTGAAATCAACATCAGTATACTGATATGTTGTATGTATCTGTTTTCCTATAAATAAATATGGATCAATTATGGGAACAAATTTTGGTCCAAGATTGTTGTTGTCTTGTGTTACTATGAGAACCAAAGACAATTGCCATACTCCTTAGCCTGTGGCCATAGACAAAATTCCCACATATCTGGATGACGACAATAGAATTAGGGAGCCTATTAAGCCATGCTGAGCAACTATTTAAATAAATCAAAGAGTACAGGGGAGCCAAGTGTACGGACAATCAGTAGAGAAAACTAAAATGGCACTCCTGTTATGTCTTCCTGGACCAAAATCACAACCAGGTTGGCATTCGAGAAGGGAAACCATGATATATATGGGAATTCTAGATTAATATTCTACCCCCAGTATACAAAGACGGTATTTCTGACTCTTCATCAGTAGGCTACATTTTTAAGGTTGTTCTTCAGTTGTGGGGATGACTTATACTATGACCTTTTTGTGATTTATGACTCATACTTGGAGGATAGTTGACTGAAGTTAGAGTGTCAATGGTTATAGAAGCAACCATCCAGTTTGAGAAAATTCTTGTATCTTTAACACCATACTACAGCAATTGAAATTACCTAGGTCCTAAGGTAGTAGGAGCATGTAAATAACATGCCTAGAAGAAGTATAATATGTCAAAATATGCCCAAAAGAAGGTAAAGAGAATAAGTGTATCTTTCGCCATTTTTTTTTTTTTTTTTTGAGACAGAGTCTCGCTCTGTCGCCCAGGCTGGAGTGCAGTGGCGCTATCTCCGCTCACTGCAAGCTCTGCCTCCCGGGTTCACGCCATTCTCCTGCCTCAGCCTCCCCGAGTAGCTGGGACTACAGGCGCCCACCACCACGCCCGGCTAATTTTTTGTTGTTGTTGTATTTTTAGTAGAGACAGAGTTTCACCATGTTAGCCAGGATGGTCTCCATCTCCTGACCTTGTGATCCGCCTGCCTCGGCCTCCCAAAGTGCTGGGATTACAGGCCTGAGTCACCGCGCCTGGACGGATTTTTTTTTTTTTTTTTGAGCCGGAGTCTCGCTCTGTCGTCCAGGCTGGAGTGCAGTGGTGCAATCTTGGCTCACTGCAAGCTCCGCCTCCTGGGTTCACACCATTCTCCTGCCTCAGCCTCCTGAGTAGCTGGGACTACAGGCGCCCGCCACCACGTCTTGCTAATTTTTTGTATTTTTAGTAGAGACAGGGTTTCACTGTGTTAGCCAGGATGGTCTCGATCTCCCGACCTCGTGATCTGGGCTCCCAAAGTGCTGGGATTACAGGCATGAGCCACCACGCCTGGCCCATCTTTGACCATGTTTTTAAGCTATTGGCCCAGATGCCTTGATGGGTGAATAATAATATACATAAGGGCATCCTTGAAAAATCATCAGGGTGAAAAATATTGGAGAGCAGTCTATATGGTTAAACAGGTTGCTTACTGTAGACTTGTGTACCAAATACCCAACTTCTCTTGGCAATGCATTATCTACTCAAAATGCAGAAATCTCCATGTAGCCTAGATTGGCAGAGAAATCTAGATTGTATTTTACACCAGAGGTACATGCCAAAATTTTATTTGGGAAATGTTTTTCAGCATTTTTCTGTTTCTGAGGATTAAGACATGTGGAGACTAGGTAAAATTATTTAATAACTGTTTTAATCTCTGTGGTGCTTTTAGATTCTATGCCAAATGAATGCTCTTTGGATGTACTACTGGGTGAAAGGGTAGGCAGGCTATTGAGAAACTGCAGCAGAGCTTTTTTCATATTTGTTGAAAACTCCTTCAGATGCCTGGTGTTTAACTGTGTTCTAAGAACTCCACCAAGTTTAGAAGTGCTTCTGCTACCTGACAAATGGAGCTTCCCTCACCCCACACTGTGGTCTTTCAGACATCTTATAAATAAGCAATTGAATCTGTTAAGGCTTTGCTATTGTCTTTTAACCATTCAAAACAAGAAACAATTTATTAAGTGTTTCTGGTAAGCTGACATTTCTTGGAAATGGTGCTGAGAGGAAGCTGGAATGCTGCCACTGGCCCTTTTACCTTAATCAAGATTATATAATATTTAAATACCGGAAGTCTTGCAAAATTTCTTGGCTTTCTGTGCCACGTTATTCTCTCATTTTTTTTCTGTCTCTGATTGCTTTTTACCTTCATTGCTGACTAACTGTTGGTATTCTCCTAAAGTTCAATATCCAGTTTTCTCTTCTCCCTCAAGGATCTATCAGCTTTCATAATCTCAGCTATCCCTTTATGTAGTTACCAAATCATTGCTTTCAATTCTCACTACTCTATTAACTATATTTTTAATCTCTTTCATTTTCAATTGGGAATATGATACAAGCTCTTTCCCACAAGCTTAAGTGTAATATCAGACAGATTCTAACTTCCCTAACTCAACTGTTTAGCAATGTTACCCCTCCAGTATACACACAAGACTTAGGAAAGAAGTAAAAAGTTTCCAGCAGATAATATCTTAATAGTTTTCTGATTCACCTCTCTTTTCATACCACTTCCATTGTCATTATTCTATGTTTAGCTTCTGGCATAGTCCTGAAATTACAATAGCCTTAGGACATAACATCAAGAAAAGATGGATAGACAAATGCAATGTACTGAAACATATGCACCTCGAATATAGAAACACTCTTAGGTTCCTCTGGTTATTACATGTAGAACACTGCACCAGGTCCTTGTTGTCTAGGAGCTCACAGTTCAGAGTGGGAAACAGTCATTTGAGTAGACAATTATAGTAGTGTAGAGAATGTTAAAATATAGTGCTGTGGCTGCAGAGATGAGGCACTTAGCTCAGAATGATCAGGGCCTAGTTCTTGAAGGAGGTGATGCTGTATCAGAGTCTTGAAAAAGGAAACATTAGTCAGGCAGAGGATAGGAAGCATTCCAGGCCAAGTGGGTAACAATACATGGAGATATGTATATGGATTATACATATATGAAATATATATTTGTATGTGTATGTATATATGAGTCTATTTGAAAATTTGACAAGAACACGGGGCCTTGTGGAGAGAGTAGAAGTAGATAAGATCTGAGAAATTTGCAGGAGCCATAATTATTTTATTTCATCTATTTTATTTTACTTTATTCAATAGTTTTTGGGGAATAGGTTGGTTTTGGTTATATGAATAACTTCTTTAGTGGTAATTTCTGAGATTTTGGTGCACTTGTTACGTGAGCAGTGTTCACTGTACCCAATGTGTAATCTTTTATCCTTCAGCCCCCTTCTTCCCCTGAAGTCCTCAAAGTCCATTATGTCATTCTTATGCCTTTGCATCCTCATAGCTTAGCTCCTGCTTATAAGTGAGAACAAACAATATTTGGTTTTCCATTCCTGAGTTACTTCACACAGAATAATGGTTTCCAACTCCATCCAGGTTGCTGTGAATGCCATTATTTCATTCCTTTTTATGGCTGAGTAGTATTCCATGGTGTACATAGACCACATGTTTTTTATATAATTGTTGGTTGATAGGCATTTAGGATGGTTCCATATTTTTGCAATTGTGAATTGTGCTGCTCTAAACATGTGTATGTAAGTGTCTTTTTTGTATAATGACTTCTTTTTCTCTGGGTAAATACACAGTAGTGGGATTGCTGGATCAAATGGTAGTTCTACTTTTAGTTCTTTAAGCAATCTCCATACTGTTTTCCATAGTGGTTGTACTAGTTTACATTTCCACCAGCAGTGTAGAAGTGTTCCCTTTTCACCACATCCACGTTAACATCTATTGTTTTTTGATTTTTTGATTATGGCCATTTTTGCCAAAACAAGATGGTAACTCATTGTGGTTTTAATTTGCATTTTCCTGATACTTAGTGATGTTGAGCATTTTTTTCATATGTTTGTTGGCCATTTGTACATCTTTTAAGAATTGTCTATTCATGTTTTTGCCCTCATTGTGATGGGATTATTATTTATTTTTTTCTGCTGATTTGAGTTCCTTGTAGAGTCTGGATATTAGCCCTTTGTCTGATGTACAGTTTGCAAATATTTTCTCCCATTCTGTGGGTTTTCTGTTTACTCTTCTAATTATTTCTTTTGCTGTGTAGAAGCTTTTTAGTTTAATTAGGTCCCATCTATTTATATTAGTTTTTGTTGCATTTGCTTTTGGATTCTTGCTCATGAACTCTTTGCCTAAGGCCATGTCTAGAAGTACTTTTCAAATGTTATCTTCTAGAATTTTTATGTTTTCATGTCTTAGATTTAAGTGTTAATTCATCTTGGGTTGATTTTTGTATAAGGTGAGAGATGAGGATCCATTTTCATTCTTCTACATGTGGCTTGCCAATTATCCCAGCACCATTTGTTAAACAGGGTATCCTTTTCCTACTTTATGTTATTGTTTGCTTTGACAAAAATCAATTGGCTGTAAGCATTTGGCTTTATTTCTGGGTTTTATATTCTGTTCCTTTGGTCTATGTGACTACTTTTATAGCAGTACCATGCTGTTTTGGTAACTATAGCCTTGTAGTATAGTTTGAAGTCAGGTAATGTGATACCTCCAGATTTGTTCTTTTCACTTAGTCTTGCTTTGGCTGTGCAGGCTCTTTTTTGGTTCCATATGAATTTTTGGATTTTTTTTCTAGTTCTGTGAAGAATGATCATGGTAGGTACTTTGGTGGGAATTGCATTAAATCTGTAGATTGCGTTTGGCAGTATGGTCATTTTCACAATATTGATTCTACCTATTCATGTGCATGGGATACGTTTCTATTTGTTTGTGTCATAAATGGTTTCTTTCAGTGGTGTTTTGCAGTTTTCCTTGTAGAAATCTTTCACCTCCTTGGTTAGGTATATTCCTAAATATTTTATTATTATTATTTTTTGTGGCTGTTGTAAAAGTGATTGAGTTTTTGATTTGATTCTCAGCTTGGTCATTGTTGGTGTATAGCAGTGCTACTGATTTGTGTACATTGAATTTTGTATCCTGAAACTTTACTAAATTTATTTATCAGATCTAAGAGCATTTTAAATGAGTCTTTAGGTTTTTCTAGGTATATACTCATATCATTGGTGAACAGAGACAGTTTGTCTTCTTCTTTACCAATTTGGATGCCCTTTATTTCATTCTGTTGTCTGATTGCTCTGACTAAAAGCTGGTTCTTTGAAAAGATAAACAAAATTGATAGACCATTAGCAAGATTAACCAAGAAAAAATAGAGAAGATCAAAATAAGCTCCATTAGATACAAAATGGGAGATATTACCACTGACACCACAGAAATACAAAAATTATTTAAGGCTACTAGGAACACCTATATGCACACAAACTGGAAAATCTAGAGGATATAGATAAATTCCTGGAAATATACAACTCTCCTAGATTAAATAATAAAGAAACAGAAACTCTGAACAGACAAATAACAAGTAGTGAGATTTAAATATTAATTTAAAAAATGCCAACTAAAAAAACTTCAGAACCATATGGATTCACAGTTGAATTCTATCAGACATTTAAAGGAGAATTGGTGTCAATCCTGCCAAAAGTATTCCAAAAGATAGAGAAAGAGAGAATCCTCCCTAAATCATTTTATGAAGCCAGTATCACCCTAATACTAAAATCAGGAAAGGACATAACAACAACAACAACAAAACTACAGACCAATATCCCTGATAAACATAGATGCAAAAATCCTCAGCAAAATACTAGCTAAGTAAATCCAACAGCATATCAAAAAGATAATCCACCATGATCAAGTGGGTTTCATACCAGGGGTGTAGGGATGGTTTAACATACACAAGTCAGTAAGTGTGATATGTTACATAAACAGAATTAAAAACAAAAATTTTATGATCATCTTACTAGATGCAGAAAAAGCCCTTGACAAAATTAATATTTCTTCATTAAAACCCTCAGCAAATTTGGCATAGAAGAGACATACCTCAAGGTAATAAAAGCCATTTATGAGAAAAACCCACGGCTAACATTATTCTGAATGGGAAAAGTTGAAAGCATTCCCCCTGAGAAGTGGAAGAGACAAGGATGGCCACTTTCACCACTTCTGTTTAACATAGTAGGGGCCATAATTCTTGTCAAGTATGGGTATCTGGTTTAGTCCTATAACTAATTGATAATGCCAAATTAAAAGTTGTTATGAGGAATGCTCAAGATAAGCAATGAATGAGGTTTGAGAAATGAAGAAAAAAGTCATAAAATCACAAAAAGCAGATGTAAGTATTAAAAAATAAAGTCATCTGGGGAGACAAGGTGGAGTAAGATGGCAGAATAGACTTTGTCTTGCCACCCATTGACCCGCCTGCAAGGACACCAAATTAACAACTATCTACACACACACACACACACACACACACAAACCTTCAGAAAAAAACAAAAATCAGGCGAGCACTTATAGTACCTGGTTTTAACTTAATATCACTAAAAGAGGCACTGAAGAGATAGAAAAAAACAGTCCTGAATTACCAATGTCACTCTTAACCCAACCCGCAGCTGCAGCATTATGCAGAGAGCATCTGTAGGCGCTGGGGTAGGGAGAAGACAGCAATTGTGAGGCATTGAACTCAGTGCTTTCCTGTTAGAGCAGAAAGGAAAACCAGACCAAACTCAGCTGAAGCCTGCCCATGGAGGGAGCACCTAAACAAGCCCTAGTTGGATGGGAATCACCAATATGATCCCAGAGGTCTGAAGTTGAGTGCCTGCAAACTTCTCCACCGAGGGCTATAGCATCCTGTGTCTCTGAGCACTCTTGAAAGGCAGTCTAGGCCATAAGGACTGCAACTCTTAGGCAAGTCCTAGTGCTGAAGTAGGCCCAGAGATAGTGGAGTGGGGGTGGGGCATGTGAAATACTGAGACACCAGCTGGGGAAGCCAAGGGAGTGCTGGCATCACTCCTCTCCTAACCTCAGGCTTCACAGCTGTAGCTCCAAAATAGACCTCTTACTTTCACTTGAGGAGAGGAGAGGGAGTAGTGCAGAGAACGCCGTTTTGCATCTTGGGTATCAGCTCAGCCACAGCAGGATAGGGCACTAGTCAGAATTTCAAGGCTCCTGTTGCAGGACCTAGCTCCCAGATATTTCTAGACACCCCTTGGGACAGAAGAAAACCCACTGCCTTGAACTAAAGGAGCCAGTCCTGGAAGCATTCATCACCTGCTAACTGAAGAGACCTTGTACCCTGAATAACCAGCAGCAATACCCAGGTACTACATTGAGGGCCTTGGGTGAGCCTCTGAGACTTGCTGGCTTAAGGTGAGACTCAGCACATTACTAGCTGTGGTGGCTATGGGGCAAAATTCCATCTGCTTGAGAAGAGCAGAGAGAAAAGTAAATGGGACTTTGTCTGACACCTTAGGGATCAGCATGGCCACAGGGGATCAGAGCACCAAGTGGGCTCTTGGGGTCCTCAATTCCAGGACTTGACTCTTGGATGGAATTCCTGGGCCTTCCCTGACCCAGCGGGATACCCACTGCCCTGAAGGATGAGTTTTACGCCAGGCAGCATTCACCATAAGCTGACTTAAGAGACCTTGGGCCTTAAAGGAACGTTGGCTGGTAGGCTAAAAGTAGTCCTATGGCTTGTGGTGGCAGTGGATATGGGGTGAGGCTCCTCTGCCTTTGGAAAGGGGAGAAAAGAGTGGGAAAGAATGAATCTTGTGGTTTGAGTGTCAGCTCAGCTGCAATATATTACAATGTGAAGGAAATGTCTAGGGCTTTTGACTCTAATCCCTGACTCCTGGATGGCATTACTGGACACACCCAGGAACTGGGGGAACTTGATGCCCTGAAGAAAAAACACAAGCCTAGCTGGCTTTGCCAGCTGTGGATTATGGAGCCCCAGGGCCTTGAGCAGACAAAGGCAGCAACCAGGGAATTGTTACAGCCTGCCTTGGGTGAGACCCAGCACTATGCTGGCTTCAGGTCTGACCCAGTGCAGTCACAGTGGTGATGGCCACAAGGGTGCCTCTGTCACTCCACCCCCAGCTTTAGGTGGCTCAGAACAGAGAGAAAGAGATAGAGAGAGAGAGACTGACTCTGTATGCTTGGAAGAAACTAACAGAAGAGAACAAGGGTCTCTGTCTGGTAATCCAGAAAATTCTCCCAGATCTGATCCAAGACCATCAAGGTGGTATCTCTATGACTCTGCAAGAACCACAGCATTACCGTTCTTGCAGTACTGTTGCCCCCTAAAGCAAATATAGCTTAGATCATAACACCCAAGTCCTTTCAAATATCTAAAAAGCTGACCCAAGAAGGATGGTACAAACAAGCCCGCACAGTGAAGACTACAATAATGACTTCTCTTTAACACCCAGACACTGAAGAAAATCTACTAGCATCAATGCCATTTAGAAAAACATGATCTCACCAATTAAGCTAAATAAATCACTAGGAACCAATCCTGGAGAAACAGAGATATGTTCAAAATGGCTATGTTGAGGAAACTCAAAGTAATTCAAAATAACACGGAGAAGGAATTTAGAATTCTCTCAGATAAATTTAACAGAGAGAGTGAAATAATGAAAAAGAATCAAGCAGAAATTATGGAGCTAAAAAATGAAATTGGCCTATTAAAGAATGTAACAGTCATTTAATAGCAGAATTGATCAAGCAGAAAAAAAGAATTTATGAACCTGAAGACAGGCTGTTTAAAAATACATAATCTGAGGAGAAAAATAGAAAAAGAATAGAAAACAAGGAAGCATACATACAGCATATAGAGAATAGCTTCAAAAGGGCAGAGCTAAGATTTATTAGCCTTAAAGAGAAGGTAGAGAAAAAGATAAGGGTGGAAAGTTTATTCAAGAGGACAATAACAGAGAACCCCCCAAACCTAGAGAAAGATATTAGTATCTAAATACAAGGTTATAGAACAGCAAGCAGTTTTAACCCAAAGAAGTCTACTGCAAACATTTAATAATCAAACTCCTAAAAATCAAGAAGAAAGAAAGGATCTAAAAAGAAGCAAGTGAAAATAAAGAACTAACATACAATGGAGCTTGAATATGTCTGGCAGAAGACTTTTCAGTGGAAACTTTACAGGCCAGGAGAGAGTGGCATGATATATGTAAAGAACTGAAGGAAAAAATCTTTTACCTTAGATTAGTGTATCCAAAGAAAATATCTTTCAAATATGAAGGAGAAAAAGACTTCCCCAGAAAAACAAAAGCTGAGGGATTTAATCAATATAAGAACTGTCCTACAAGAAATCTAAAGTGAGTAATTTAATGAGAAAGAAAAGGTCATTAATGATCAATAAATTATCACCTGAAGGTACAGTAGATAGAAAACAGAGAATATTATAATACTGTAACTCTGATGTTTAAATATTCTTATCCTAAGTAGAAGACTAAATAATAAACCAATCAAAATTAATAACTACAACAGCTTTCAAAGACACAGTCAGTACAATAAGATATAAATAGAAACAACAGAAAGTTAAAAAGTGGGGGGGATAAAGATAAGGTGTAGAGTTTTTGTTAGTTTTCTTCTTGCATCTTTATTTGTTTATGAAAATAGTGTTAAGCTTTTATCACATTAAAATAATACGTTATAAAATAGCATTTACAATTCTCATGGTGACCTCAAACCAAACAGCATACAACGGATATGAAAAAAAATTAAAAATAAAGAAACTAAATTACATCACCAGAAAAAGTTATTTTCACTAGAGGAAGACAAGAAGGAGAGAAAGAGGAAAAAAATTAAACAACCAGAAAACAAATAAGAAAATGGCGGGATTAAGTACTTGCTTAATAATAACATTGAAAGCAAAGGAACTAAACTCTCCAATCAAAAGACATAGATTGGCTGAATGAATAACAAAACAAGACTCATTGATCTGTTGGTTAAAAGAAACATGCTCCACCTATAAAGACACATGTAGATTGAAAATAAAGGAATGGAAAAAACATTCCATGCTAATGGAAACCAAAAAATAGCAGGAGTCACTAAACTTATATCAGACAAAATAGATTTCAAGACAAGAATTATAAGAAAGGGAAAAGGTCACTATATAATAATAAAGGTGTTGATTCAGCAAGAGGATATAACAATTTTTAACATATATGCACCCAACATTGGAGCACACAGATAGATAAGAGAAATATTATTAGAGATAAAGAGTGAGAAAGGTCCCAATAAAATAATAGCTTAAGAGTTCAACATTCCACTTTCAGCATTAGATAGGTCTCTCACACAGAAAATCAACAAAGAAACATCAGCGTTAATCTGCACTGTAGAACAAATAGATGTAATAGATATTCACAGAACACTCCCATCCAACAGCTGCAGAATACACATCCTTTTCCTCAGCACATGCATCATTCTCTAGGATAGACCATATATTAGGTTACCAAACAAGTCTTAAAATTTAAAAAAAATTGAAATAATATCAAGCATCTTTTCTGACCACAATGGAGTAAAACTAAAAATTAATAATGAGGAATTTTGGAAATCAGAGATACATGGAAAATAAGCAATATGCTCCTGAATGACAATGTCAATGAATAAATTAAGAAAGAAATTGAAAATTTTCTTAAAACAAATTATTATGGAAGTACAATATACTAAAACTATTACCTGACTTCAAATTATACTACAGAGCTATAGTAACCAAAGAGCAACTGTCATAAAAACAGACACAGACTGTATTAGTCATTCTCACACTACTATAAAGACATTCCTGAGACTGGGTAATTTATAAAGAAAAGAGGTTTAATTGACTCACAGTTCCACAGGATGTACAGGAGGCATGGCTGGGGAGGTATCATGAAAATCACAGTTATGGTAGAAGGCAAAGGGGAAGCAGGCACAATCTTCACATGGAAGAGCAGGAGAGAGAGAGAACAAATGGGGAAGTGCTACAAACTTTTAAACAACCAGATCTTGTGAAAACTCACTCACTATTATGAATACAGAAAGGGAGAAATCCACCTCCATGATCCAATCACCTCCCACTAGGTCCCTCCCCCAACATTGGGAGTTACAATTTGGCATGAGACTTGGGTAGGAACACAGAGCCAAACCATATCATTATGCCCCTGGCCTCTGCCATATCTCATGTTCTTATCACATTTCAAAACACAATCATGCCTTCCCAACAGTCCACCAAAGCCTTAACTTATTCCAGCATTAACTCTAAAGTCTAAATCCAAAGTCTCATCTGAGATAAGGCAAGTCCCTTCCAACTTTGAACCTATAAAACAAAAAACAAATTAGTTACTTCCAGGATAAAAAGGAGGTACAGGCATTGGGTAAATAGACCTATTCCAAGAGGGATAAATCAGCCAAAACAATGGGTCTACAGGCACCATGCAAGTCCAAAACTCATAAGGCTGTCATTAAATCTTAAATCTCTAAAATAATCTCCTTTGACTCCATGTATCACATCCAGGACACACTAATGTAAGGGATGGGCTCCTAAGGCCTTGGGCAGCTCTGCCCCTTTGGCTCTGCAGGGTAAAGCACCCCACAGCTGCTTTCACAGGCTGGCATTGAGTGTCTGTGGCTTTTCCAGGCATACAGTGTAAGCTGTAGGTGGATCTACCATTCTGGGGTCTGGAGGATGGTAGCCCTATTCTCACAGATCCACTAGGCAGTGCCACAGTGGGGACTCTGTGGGGGCTCCAACCCTACATTTCTCCTCTGCACTGCCATAGTAGAGGTTCTCCATGAGGGCTCTGCCCCTGCAGCAGACTTCTGCTTGGACATCCAGCATCAGGCATTTCCATACATCCTTTGAAATCTAGGTGGAGGCTCCCAAACTTCAACTCTTGCCTTCTGTGCACCTGCAGGCCCAACACCACATGGAAGCCACCAAGGCTTGGGGCTTGCATCTTCTGAAGCAATGGTCCAAGTTGCACTTTGGCCCCTTTTAGCCATGGCTAAAGTTGAAGCAGCTGGAACACACGGCACCATGTCCCAAGGCTTCACAGAGCAGTGGAGCCCTGGGTCTGGCCAACAAAACCATTTTTCCCTCCTAGGCCTCCAGGCCTGTGATGAGAAGGGCTTCCATGAAGGTCTCTAAAATGCCCTGGAGACATTTTCCCCATTGTCTTGGCTCTTCTTTACTTATGCACATTTCTGCAGCTGGCTTTAATTTCTCCACAGAAAATGGGTTTTTCTTTTCCACTACACAGTCCGTCTACAATTTGTCCACTTTCATGCTCTGCTGTTTTTTTTTTTTAAATAGAAGTTTCAGTTTTAGGTCGTTTATTTGTGCAAATGAGAATAGGCTTTTAGAAGCAGCCAGGCAACATCCTGAACACTTTGCTGCTTATAAGTTTCTTCCACCAGATACACTAAATTATCTCTCTCAAGTTCAATGTTTTACAGATCTCTAGAGCAGGGGCACAATGCAACCAGTCTCTTCACTGAAGCATAGCAAGAGTGACCTTTACTCCAGTTCCTAATAAGTTCCTCATCTCCATCTCAGACCACCTCAGCCTGGACTTCATTGTCCATATTACTATTAGCATTTTGGTTACAAGCATTCAACAAGTCTCTAGGAAGTTCCAAACTTGCCCACATTTCCCTGTCTTCTTCTGAGCCTTCCAAACTGTTCCAACCTCTGCCCATTACCCAGTTCCAAAGTTGCTTCCACAGTTTCATGTATTTTTATAGTAACACCCCACTCTAGGTATCAATTTTCTGTATTTGTTCTTTCTCACAGTACTATAAAGACATAACTGAAAGTGGGTAATTTATGGAGAAAAGAGGTTTAATTGACTCACATTTTCACAGGCTGTACAGGAGGAATGCCTGGGGAGGTCTCAGGAAACTTACCATCATGGCAGAAGGCAAAAGGGAAGCAGGCAGAATCTTCACATGGCAGAGAAGGAGAAAGAGAGGAAAGGGAGAAGTGGTACACACTGTTAAACAACCAGATATTGTGAGAACTCAGTGACTACTATGAGAACAGCAAGGGGGAAATCCACCCCCATGATCAAATTTCCTCCCACTAGGTCTCTCCCCCAACATTGAGAATTACAATTTGACATGAGATTTTGGTCGGGACATAGAATCAAACCATATCATAGACCAATGGAACAGAACAGAGAACCTAGAAACAAATCCACATGCTTACAGTAAACTTATTTTTGATAAAGGTGATAAGAACCTACACTGGGGAGAAGACAGTTTCTTCAATAAATGGTGCTGGGAAAACTGGATATCCATGTGCAAAAGAATGAAACTAGACCCCCATCTCTTGCCATATACAAAAATTATATCAAAATGGACTAAAGGTCTTAAATCTAAGACCTCAAACTATGAAACTACTATGAGAAAATAAAATAATATCAGACCCCTATCTCTCACCATATACAAAACCCATATCAAAATGGATAAAAGACTTAAATATAAGACCTCAAACTTTGAAACTACTACAATGGAACATTGGGAGAAATCTGCAGGACACAGATCTGGGCAAGGATTTCTTGAGCAATACCCCACAAGCACAGGCAACCAAAGCAAACATGGACAAACTGGATTATATCGAGTTAAAAAGCTTCTGCACAGCAAAAAAAAAAAAAAAAAAAAAAAAATTACAATCAACAGTGAAGAGACAACCCACAGAATGGGAGAAAATATTTCCAAACTACCACTCTGACGAGGGATTAGTCATCAGAATATATAAGCAGCTTAAACAACTTCACAGGAAAAAATGGAATAACCCAATCAAAAAATGGGCAAAAGAGTTTAATAGACATTTCTCAAAAGAACACATACAACTAACAAACAGGCATATGAAAAGGTGCTTAATATCATTGATATCAAAGAAGTAAAAATTGAATTATATCAAATTAAAAAGCTCCTGCACAGTAGAAAAATACAATAAACAGTGAAGAGACAACCCAGAGAACGGGAGAAAATATTTCCAAACTACCACTCTGACGAGGGATTAATCACCAGAATATATAATCAGCTTAAACAACTCCACAGGAAAAAATAGAATAACCCAATCAAAAAATGGGCAAAAGATTTGAATAAACATTTCTCAAAAGAACACCTACAAATAACAAACAGGCATATGAAAAGCTGCTTAACATCATTGATCACCAGAGAAGTGCAAAACAAAACTACAGTGAGATATCTCACCCTAGTTAAAAATGGCTTATATCCAAATGACAGGCAATAACAAATGCTGGCGAGGAGGTGTAGAAAAGGTACATTGTTGGTAGAAATGTAAATTAGTACACTCGCCGTAGAGAACAGTTTGGAGGTCTGCCATAAAACTAAAAATAGAGCTACCATATGATCCAGCAATCCTACTGCTGGGTATATACCCAAACAAAAGAAAATAAGTATATCAAAGAGATATCTGCACTCCTATGTTTGTTGCAACAATGTTTACAATAGCTAAGATTTGGAAGCAGCTTAAGTGTTCATCAATAGATGAATGGATAACTCAGTCATTTAAATTCAGAGACTTAGCAGAAGAATGACTACCAGAGGCTGAGAAGTATAGTGGGGGAGTTAGGGGTAGTTGGGGATGATTAATGGGTACAAAAAAAGAGAGTGAATAAGACCTACTATTTGATAGCAGAGTAGAGTGACTATAGTCTAAAATGATATATTTGTGTATTTTAAAATAACTTTAAAAATGTAATTGGATTGTAACTCAAAGGATAAATGCTTGAGGGGATAGATATCCCATTCTCTATTATGTGCTTATTTCACATTGCATATCTGTACCAAAAGATCTCATGTACTCCCAAAATATACACACCTACTATGTACCCACAAAAAATTAAAAAGTAATAAAAATGTTTTTAAATATAGAAAAACTTTTGGGATACAGCAAAAGCCATACCAAGAGGGAAATTTATAGCTGTAAGTGCCTACATCAAATTTATAGCTGTACTTGCCTACATCAAAAATAAGAAAAAACTTTAAATGTACAATTAAAGATGCATGTTAAAGAATTATAAAAGCAAGAGCCAACCAAACTCAAAATTATAAGAAGAAAAGCAATCATAAAGGTCAGAGCAGGCATAAATGAAATTGCAATAAAATAAAATCAAAAAGATCAATGAAAAAAAGATTTTTTTGAAATATTAAACAAAATTAACAAGCCTTTAGCCAGCCTAAAAAAAAAGAGAGAAGATTCAAATAAATAAAATCAGAAATGAAAATGAGACATTGTAACTAATTCAGTGGAAATTCAAAGGATCATTAGTGGCTACCAGGAGCAAGTATATGCCAATAAATTGGAAAATTTAGAAGAAATGGACAAAGTCCTAGATACATACGACCTACCAAGATTGAACTAGGAAAAAATCCAAAACCTGAACAGATCAATAACAAGTAATGAGATTGAAACCATAATTTAAAAAAGGGCCCAGGATCTGATGGCTTCACTGCTGAATTCTACCAAACATTTAAAGGGAATTAATAACAATCCTACTCAAATAATTCCAAAACAGAGGAGGAGAGAATACTTCTACACTCATTCTACAAGGCCAGTATTACCCTGATAGCACAGTCAGCCAAATACACATCAAAAAATAAAAACTACAGGTCCATATCTTTGATGAACATTGATACAAAAATTCTCAACAAAGTGTTAGCAAACAAATTCAACAATACATTAGAAAGATCATTCACCATGAGCAAGTAGGATTTATCTCTGAGATGCAAGGATGGTTCAACATATGTAAATCAATAAATGTGATACATTATAGCAACAGAATGAAGTCATTTGATAAAATTCAAAATTTCTTCATGATAAAAATCCTCAAAAAGTGGAATAGAAGGTACATACCTCAACATAATAAAAGTCATGTAAAATAGATGCACAGCTAGTATCATAATGAATGGGGAAAAACTAAAAGTCATTTCTCTAAGATCTGGAACATGACAAGGATGCCCACTGTTGCCAGTGTTATGCAACATTGTACTGGAACTCCTAGCTAGAGCAATCAGAGAAGAGAAAGATAAGAAATGCATTCAACCTAGAAAGGAAGAACTCAGATTATCTTTGTTTGCAGATGATATAATTTTATACTTGGAAAAACCTAAAGACTCCACAAGAAAACTATTAGAACTGATAAATTCAGTAAAGTTGCAGGATACAAAATCAAAATACAAAAATCAGTAGCATTTCTATATGCCAACAGTGAACAATATGAAAAATAAATAAAAACAGTAATCCCTTTTACAATAGCCACACACAAAATTAAATACCTAAGAACTAACAACCAAAGAAGTGAAATACCTCTATAATAGAAACTATGAATCAATGATAAAAGACATTGAAAAGGACACAAAAAATGGAAAGACATTCCATGTTCATAGATTGGAGGAATCAATATTGTTAAAATGTTCATACTACCAAAAGAAATCTATATATTTAATGCAATCCCTATCAAAATACCAATGACATTCTTCACAGAAGTAGAAAAAAATCCTAAAATTTATATGAAACCACAAAAGACCCAGAATAGCCAAAGGTATCCCAGGCAAAAAGAATAAATCTGAAGGAGTTACATTACCTGACTTCAAATTATGCTACAGAGATGTAGTAACCAAAACAGCATGGTACTGGCATAAAACAGACACATAGGCCAATTGAAAAGACTAGAGAACCCAGAAACAAACCCACACACTTACAGTAAACTCATTTTCAATAAAGGTGCCAAGAATATACATTGGAGAAAAGATAGTCTCTACAATAAATGGTGCTGGAAAACTTGATATGTATGAGCAGAGGAATGAAACCAGACCCCTATCTCTCACCAAATACAAAAATTAAATCAAAACCAATTAAAGACTTAGGAATCTAAGACATCAAACTATGAAAGTGCTACAAGAAAACTTTGTGGAAAATCTCCAGGACATTGACCTCTGCAAAATTTTCTTGAGAAATATTCCAAAAGCACAGACAGCCAATGCAAAAATGTACAAATGGGATCACATCAAGGTAAAAAAGTATCTTCACAGCAAAGAAAACAATGAACACGGTAAAGAGACAACCCACAGAACAGGATAAAATAGTATCAAACTACCTATCTGACAAGGGATTAATAACTAGAATATATAAGGAGATTAAGCAACTCTATAGGAGAAAATCTAATAATGTAATCAAAAGCTGGTCAAAGGATTTAAAGAGACATTTCTCAAAAGACAACATACAAATGAAAAACAGGCATTTGAAAAGGTGCTCAACATCATCAATCATGGGAGAAATGCTAAACTACAATGAGATATCACCTCACCCCAGTTAAAATGGCTTATATCCAAAAGAAACCAATAACAAATTCTGGTGAGGATCTGGAGAAAAGGAAACCCTCGTACACTGTTGGTAGGAACGTAAATTAGTACAACCAGTATGGAAAGCAGTTTGGAGGCTCCTCAAAAAACTAAAAATAGAACTACCATATGATCTAGCAGTCCCACTGCTGGATATATACACCAAAGAAAGAAAATCAGTATATTGAAGTGATAGTTGCACTACCGTGTTTGTTGTAGCAACATTCACAACAGTCCAGATTTGGAAGCAACCTAAGTGCCTATCAACAGATAAAGGGATAAAGAAAACATGATAAGTATACATAATGTAGTACTAGTTGGCAACAAAAATAATAATGTTCTGCCATTTGCAACAACGTGGATGGTACTGGAGATTATTATGTTATGTGATATAATCCAGGCACAGAAAGATAAACGTCATATGTTCTCATATATTTGTGGGACCTAAAACTCAAAACAATTGAACTCATGGATATAGAGAGTAGAAGAATGGTTACCAGAGGCTGGGAAGTGTAGTGGGAAATGGGGAGAGGTAGTTATTGATAATGGATCAAAAAATAGTTCAAAAGAATAAATAAGACTTACTATTTGATTGCATAACAGGGTGACTAAATACAATCATAATTTAATTGTACATTTTAAAATCGCTAAAAGAGTATAATTGTATTGTTTGTAACACAAAAGATAAATGCTTGAGTGATAGATACCCCATTCTTTATTATGTGATTACTGTGCATTTTATGCCTGCATCAACACATCCCATGTACCCAATAAATATATGTATGTACAATCATATATATATGTACAATCAAGAAAAATCATTAGATTTATATTCCAACAGCAAACAATCTGAAAAAACTCAAGAAAATAATTCTGCTTACAATATCTACATGTAAAATCAAATTAAACACCTTGAAAATATCTCAATCAAACAACAACTAGAAAACACTGATGAAAAAAATTGAATGTGACACCAAAAATTGGAAAGATATTTCATGGTCCTGGATTAGAAGAATCAATATTGTTATAATGTCCATAATACACACAACAGTTTATGCATTTAATTCAATTGCTATCAAAATACCAACGACATTCTCCACAGAATTAGAAAAAAATTCTAAAAAACACAAAAGTTAAAATAAGAAATTAAAAAAACTTACATCGAACAACAAAAGTTCAAGAATAGTGAAAATAACACCAAACTGGAAGAATTACATTATCTTATTTAAAATTATACTACAGAGCTATATATAGTATATATGTACATATATACTATATACCCACAAAAATTAAAATTTCATTTTTGGAAGACATAGATTGGCTGAATGAATTTTAAAAAGTTACTGAAGTACATGCTACCTACAAGAAAAACATTTAATCCTAAAGACACATAGACTGATATAAAAGGATGGAAAAAGACATTCGATGTAAAAGGAAACCCAAAAAGTGGAAGTATCTGTACTTATATTAAAAAAAAGATTTCAAAATAAAAACTATAAGAAGAGGCAATGTCATTATATACTGATAAAGGAATCAATTCAGTAAGAGGATATTACTATTACATCTATATTTATATCAATATCAATATCCATATAACTATTATATCTATATATAAAACTATTATATATAGAGACAGTTATATTTTCTTGCTGAATTGACCCTATATATAATTATTTATATATTACAAATAATATTTATATACATATATAGTAGTTATATATATGCATTTAAGACTTGAGTGACCACATATATAAAGCACGTTAGTGCTAAAAAGAGAGATAGACCCCAACACAATAATAGGAAGAGACCTCAATACCCCATTTTCTGACCTGAACGGACCTTCTGCAAAGAAAATTAACAAAGAAATATAGAACTTAGGCCAAGTGTGGTGGCTCATGCCTGTAATCCCAGCACTTTGGGAGGCCGAGGTGGGTGGATCATGAGGTCAGGAATTCAAGACCAGCCTGGCCAAGAAGGTGAAACCTCATATCTACTAAAAATACAAAAAATTAGCTGGGTGCAGTGGCAGGCACCTGTAATCCCAGCTACTCGGGAAGCTGAGGCAGGAGAGTCGCTTGAACTCGGAGGGCAGAGGTTGCAGGGAGCTGAGATGGCACCACTGCACTCCAGCCTGATGACAGAGTGAGACTCCATCTCAAAAAAAAAAAAAAGGAAATATGGAACTTAATCTACATTATAGAACAAATGGGAGTAACAGATATTTATAGAACTTTTCTTCATCCAATGACTGCAGAATACACATTCTTTTCTTCAGTACATGAATCACTCTAAAGAACAAATCATGTGTTGTGTCACAAAAAAGGTTTAAAATACTCAAAAATACTGAAATAATATCAAGCATCTTCTCTGACAACAATGGATAAAACTAGAAATCAATAACACGAGGAATTTGGGAACTATACAAATGGATGGAAATTAAATAATATGCTCTTGAAAGACCAGTGGATCAATGAAGAAAATAAGATGTAAATTAAAAATTTTTGGAAACAAATGATAATGGAAACAACATACTAAAATATACAGGATACAGTAAAAGCAGTCTTAGGAGGGAAGTTTATAACTATAAGCATCTACATCAAAAAGAAGAATAACATCACATAAATAATCTAATGATGTATCTAAAAGAACTAGAAAAGCAAGAGAAAACCAAACCCAATTTAGTAGAATAAAAAAAGTAAAGAGTCAAAATAAATAAAGTTGAAACAAAGAAAACAATACAAAAGATCAACAATATAAAGAGTTGGCTTTTTTCAAAGGTAAACAAAATTGACAAACCTTTTGTCACACAAACCAAGAAAAAAAAAAGAGAAGACTCAAACAGAGCCAGAGATGAAAAAGAGAACAATACAACTATGCCACAGAAATACATAGGATCATTAGTGGCTATTATGAGCAAATATATGGCAATTAATAGGAAAATCTAGAAGAAACAGATAATTTCCTAGACACATACAACCTACCAAGATTGAACCATGAAGTAATCAAACCTGAAGAGACCAATAACAGGTAATGAGATTGAAGTTGCAATAAAAATCTCCTAGCAAAGAAACACTCAGGAGCTAACGGCCTCACTGCTGAATTCCACCATACATTTAAATAAGAATATCAACACTGCTCAAACTATTCTGAAACATAGAGGAGGGAATGCTTCCAGATACATTCTGTGTTTGGAGGGAATGCTTGCAAATACATTCTATGAGGCCCTGATACCAAAACCAAAGACACACAAAAAGAGAAAACTATAGGCCATAATGCTGATGAATATTGATGCAAATATCCTCAAAAAATACTACCAAATTATATTCAACAATATGTTAAAAAGATCATTTATCATGACCAAATGGGATTTATCTTGGGGATGGAATGATAATTCAACATACACAAATCAATCAATGTAATATATCATATAAACACAATGAAGGACAATAATCATGATCATTTCAATTGATGCTGAAAAATTATTTGATGAAATTTAATATCCCTTCATGAGAAAAACCCTCAAAAAACTGGATATAGGAGAAAAATACCTCGCAATAAAAGACATATATGACAGACCCACAGCTATATTATAATGAATGAGAAAAAAATAAAAGCCTTTTCTCTAAGATCTGGAACAAAACAAAGATGTTCACTTTCAACACTGTTATTCAACATAATACTGGAAATTCTCAAAAGAACAGTCAGACAACAGAAAGAAATAAAGTGCATTCAAAGAGGAAATAAGTCAAATTATCCTTGTTTGCAGATAATATGATCTTATATTTGTGAAAATCTAAAGACTCCAACAAAACACTTAGAACTGATAAATTCAGTAAAATTGCAGGATATAAAATCAACATACAAAAATCAGTAGATTTATGTTCCAATAGCAAACAATCTGAAAAAACTCAAGAAAATAATTCTGCTTACACTATCTAAATGTAAAAGCAAATTAAACACCTTGGAAATAACTCAATCAAACAACAACTAGAAAACACTGATGAAAAAATTGAATGTGACACCAAAAATTGGAAAGATATTTCATGGTCCTGGATTAGAAGAATCAATATTGTTATAATGTCCATACTACACACAACAGTTTATACATTTAATTCAATTGCTATCAAAACACCAACGACATTCTTCACAGAATTAGAAAAATATTCTAAAAACCACAAAAGTTAAAATAAGAAATTAAAAAAACTTACATCGAACAACAAAAGTTCCAGAATAGTGAAAATAATACCAAACTGGAAGAATTACATTATTTTATTTAAAATTATACTACAGAGCTATAGTAAGCAAAATAGCATGATACTGGAATAAAAACAGACACATAGACCAATGAAATAGAACAGGGAACTCAGAAAAAAATACATACATCTACAGTGAACTCATTTTCAACAAATGCTCCCAGAACATGCAATACAGCAAGGACAGTTTCTTCAATAAATGGTGCTGTGAAAACTGGATATCCATATGCAAAAGAATAAAAGTAGACTTCTATATCTTGCCACATACAAAAAGCAATTCAAAATGGATTACAGACTTTAAGACTTCAAACTATAAAACTACTTAAAGAAAAACTTGGGAGAAACATTCCAAGATAATTGTCTGGGCAAAATTTTTTTGAGTAATACCCCACAAGCACAGGCAAAGAAAGCAAAAATGGACAAATTTGATTCTATCAAGTTAAAATGTTTCTGCATTGCAAAGGTAACAATCAGGAAATTGAAAAGCAACCCACAGAATGGGAGAAAATGTTTGCAAATTATCCATCTGATGCAATATTAATAACCAGAATATGTAAGTAACTCAAATAACTCTATATGAAAAAATCTAATAATTCAACCAAAAAATGGGCAAAAGATTAGAATAGACATTTCTCAAAAGAAGACATACAAATAGCAAACAGGTATATGAAAAGATGCCCAACCTCATTCATTATCAGACAAATGCAAATCAAGACCACACAATGACATATCATCTCACCCCAGTCAGAATGGGTTTTATTAAAAAGTCAAAAAATAACAGATGCTAGTAAGGTTTCAGAGAAAAGGGAATGCATACATACTGCTTGTGAGAATATAAATTAGTTCAACCATTGTGAAAAGCAGTGTGATGATTTCTCAAAGAACTTGAAACAGAACTACCACTCTACCCAGCAATCCCATTATCAGGTATATACTCAAAGGAATGTAAATCATTCTTCCATAAAGACATATACATGTGTATGTTCATCACAGCACTATTCACTACAGCAAACTTATGGAATAAACCTATGTACCCATCAACAGTAGACTGGTTAAAGAAAATGTGATACATATGCACCATGGAATACTATGTAGCCATAAAAAAGAATGAGCTAATATCCTTTGAAGCAATATGGATACATCTGGAGGGCATAATTCTAAGTTAACTAATTCAGGAACAGAAAACCGAATACCACATGTTCTCCTTATAAGTGGGAGGTAAACATTAAATACACATGGACACAGAGAAGGAAAAACAACAGACACCAGGGACTATTTAAGGTTGGAGTGCAAGACAAGGGAGAGGATGGAAAAACTACCTATCATGTACCATGCTTATTTCGAGTGATTAAATAATCTTTACACCAAGCCCCTGTGACATACAACTTACCTATATAATGAACCTGTACATGTATCACTGAACCTCAAATAAAAGTTAAAAAAGAAATGGAAAGATCAGCTTTTCAGTTTTATCTTCCAACTTATATTGACAAGATAAAGAAATGGTTAAAAATGCATGATTAGAAGAAGGGGCCAAGGTGGCCAATTGGAAGCAGCTGCTCTTCACGGTTCTCACGGAGGGGAATGAAAATGGAGAGTGAATTCAGCATCTTCAACTGAAATATCCAGGTTCTCACATTGGGACTGACTAGGCAGACAACTTGAACCATGGAGAAGGAAGAAAAGTAGGTTGGGGAGATGGTCCATACAAGAGAGGCATGAAATCAAAGCAACCCCCACCCTCAGCCAAGGGAAGAGGTGAGTGATCATGTGACTCCACCTGAGAAACCATGCTTCTGTCACAAATCTTTGCAACCTTCATATCAGGAGATCCTCTCGTGAGCCCACGCCACTAGGGTCTTGGGTTTGATACACAGAGCTGTGCAGAGTCTTGGCAAAGCAGTCATTCGAGCTCACACAGAGACCCAGGAGCTTACAGACACCAGTCCTGGAAATCTCAGCAGGGTGGGAGATCCATCCGTACATTCTCCTTGGAAGGGGGCTGAATCCAAGGATCCAAAGAGCATCATTCTGTGGGCCTGCCTTCCATGGCACCTAACAAGTTAAGACCCACTGGCGTGGAATTCCAGCCAACAAGCACAACAGGCTGAAGACTGCCTGAGATGGGTGAATTCCTAGTTGGAGGGGCAGCCACCATTTCCACAGTTAGGTTGACTCAGACATTCTAGTCCGCCAGCTCTGAGAAGTCCAGGTGGTCCAAAAAAGGAGTTTCCAACAATGCAGCACAGCTGATGTGTCAGATTGTGGCCAGACTGCTTCTTTAAGTGGGACCCCAATTCATCCCTCCTCACTGGGCAGGGCCTCTCTGTGGGAATTTCAGCAACTCCAGCCAGGGCTATACAGACAGAATTCTGAACTCTCCCTGGGATGGAGCCCCTGGGAGGAGGGGTGGCCAATGTGTCTGCATTTCAGTTGACTCAGCCTTTCCAGCCTACTGGCTCTGGAGAGTCCAGGTGGTCTGGACGAGGAAGGGTTCCTCACAATGCAGCACACCTGCTCTACCAAAGAACAGCCAGACTGCTTCTTTAAGCGGGTCCCTGATCCCATCCCTCCTGACTGGGTGAGACATCCCAACAGGGTCTCAAGTCACTTCCTAGAGGAGTGTCTGGGCTGGCCACAGTTCAGAAACCCCCTGGGATTGAGCTCCCAAAGGAAAAAGCTGTCTGCCACCTTTGCTGTTTCACAGCCTTCACTGATGATACCTCCCGGTAAGGGAAAAACTGAGGCAAATAGGGTCTGGAGCGATCTCCCAGCAAACTATTATGGAATAGTGGCCTGACTGTTAAAAGAAAAACAAACAGCAACAACAACAACGTCAACAAAAAAGATGCCACAAAACCCCATTAAAAGGTCAGCAACCTCAAAAATTAAAGGTAGATAAGCCCACAAAGATGATAAAGAGTAAATGCAAAAATGCTGAAAACTAAAAAAGCCAGAGTGCGTCTTCTCCTCCAAATGGCTGCAACACCTGTCCAGCAATGGCATAGAACTGGGCTGAGGCTGAGATGGCTGAATTGACAGAAGTAGGCTTCAGAAGCTGGGTAATAATGAACTTGGCTGAGCTACAGAAGCATATTGTAACCCAGTGCAAAGAAGCTAAGAATCATGATAAAACAATAAAGGAGCTGATAAACAGAATAGTTAATGTGGAGAGGAGCAAAACTGACCTGATGGAGCTAAAAAACACGAGAAATTCACAATGCGATCACAAGTATCAATAGAGAATAGATCAAGCAGAAGAAAGAATCTCAGAGCTTGAAGACTATCTTTCTGAAATAATACAGGCAGGCAAGAATAAAGAAAAAAGAAAAGGAATGAAAAAAACCCGGAAGAAATATGGGACTATGCAAAAAGACTGAACCTATGACTGATTGGGTTTCCTGAAGGAGATGGGGAGAACAGAACCAAGTTAAAAAACATACTTCACATCCAGGAGAACTTCTCCAACTCAGCAAGACAGGTCAACATTCAAATTCAGGAAATCCAGAGGAACCTAGTAAGATACTCCATGAGAAGATCAACCCCAAGACACATAATCATCAAATTCTCTGAGGTCGAAAGGAAAGAAAAAATGTTAAGGGAAGCCAGAGAGAAAGGTCAGGTCACCTACAAAGGGAAATCCAACAGACTAACAGCAGATCTCTCAGTGTAAACCCTGCAAGCCAAAAGAGGTTGGGGGCCAATATTCAACATTCTTAAAAATTTCCAGCTGGGTGCAGTGGCTCATGCCTGTAATCCCAGCACTTTGGGAGGCCAAGGCGAGTGGATCACCTGAGGTCAGGAGTTCGTGACCAGCCTGGCCAACATGGGGAAACCCCATCTCTACTAAGAAAACAAAAATTAGCCGGGTGTGGCGGCAGGTGCTTGTAATCCCAGCTACTTGAGAGGCAGAGGCAGGAGAATTGCTTGAACCTGGGAGGTGGATGTTGCAGTGAGCTGAGACTGTGCCACTGCACTCCAGCCTGGGTGACAGAGTGAGACTCCATCTCAAGAAAAAAAAAAAAAAAGAGCCCGGGGTGGTGGCTCACACCTGTAATCCCAGCACTTTGGGAGGCCAAGGCAGGCAGATCACCTGAGGTCAAGAGGTCGAGACCAGCTTTGCCAACATGGTGAAACCCTGTCTCTACTAAATATACAAAAATTAGCCAGGCATGGTAGCAGGCACCTGTAATCCCAGCTACTCAGGAGGCTGAGGCAGGAGAATCACTTGAACCCAGGAGGGAGAGGTTGCAGTGAGCCAAGATCACACCACTGGACTCTAGCCTGGGTGGCAGAGCAAGACTGTGTCTCAAAAAAAAAAAAACTCCAACAGAAAATTTCATTCTCGACCAAATTAAGCTATATAAGTGAAGGAAAAAAAAATACTTTTCAGACAAGCAAATGCTGAGGGAATTCATCACCACCAGGCCTGCCTTGCAAGAGCTCCTGAAGGAAGTACTAAATATTGAAAGATAAAAACATTACCAGCCACTACAAAAACACACTGAAGTAAAAAGATCAGAGACAGTATGAAGCAACCACATAAACAAGTCTGCAAAATAACCAGCTAGCATCATGATGACAGGCACAAATTCACACATAACAATTCTAACCTTAAATGTAAATGGGCTAAATGCCCCAATTTTTTTTTTATTAACTTTAAGTTTTAGGGTACATGTGCACATTGTGCAGGTTAGTTACATATGTATACATGTGCCATGCTGGTGCGCTGCACCCACTAACTCGTCATCTAGCATTAGGTATATCTCCCGATGCTATCCCTCCCCCCTCCCCCCACCCCACCACAGTCCCCAGAGTGTGATATTCCCCTTCCTGTGTCCATGTGATCTCATTGTTCAATTCCCACCTATGAGTGAGAATATGCGGTGTTTGGTTTTTTGTTCTTGCAATAGTTTACTGAGAATGATGATTTCCAATTTCATCCATGTCCCTAAAAAGGACATGAACTCATCATTTTTTATGGCTGCATAGTATTCCATGGTGTATATGTGCCACATTTTCTTAATCCAGTCTATCATTGTTGGACATTTGGGTTGGTTTCAAGTCTTTGCTATTGTGAATAATGCCACAATAAACATACGTGTGCATGTGTCTTTATAGCAGCATGATTTATAGTCCTTTGGGTATATACCCAGTAATGGGATGGCTGGGTCAAATGGTATTTCTAGTTCTAGATCCCTGAGGAATCGCCACACTGACTTCCACAATGGTTGAACTAGTTTACAGTCCCACCAACAGTGTAAAAGTGTTCCTATTTCTGCACATCCTCTCCAGCACCTGTTGTTTCCTGACTTTTTAATGATTGCCATTCTAAGTGGTGTGAGATGGTATCTCATTGTGGTTTTGATTTGCATTTCTCTGATGGCCAGTGATGATGAGCATTTTTTCATGTGTTTTTTGGCTGCATAAATGTCTTCTTTTGAGAAGTGTCTGTTCATGTCCTTCGCCCACTTTTTGATGGGGTTGTTTGTTTTTTTCTTGTAAATTTGTTTGAGTTCATTGTAGATTCTGGATATTAGCCCTTTGTCAGATGAGTAGGTTGCAAAAATTTTCTCCCATTTTGTAGGTTGCCTGTTCACTCTGATGGTAGTTTCTTTTGCTATGCAGAAGCTCTTTAGTTGAATTAGATCCCATTTGTCAATTTTGTCTTGTGTTGCCATTGCTTTTGGTGTTTTAGACATGAAGTCCTTGCCCATGCCTGTGTCCTGAATGGTAAATGCCCCAATTAAAAGAAGCAGAATGGCAGGCTGGATAGAGACAAGACTCACTGGTATGCTGCCTTTCAGAGACTCATCTCATGTGCAAAGACAGACATAGGCTCAAAATAAAGGGGTGGAAAAAAATTTACCAAGCAAATGGAAAACAAAAAAAGCAGAGGTTGCAATCCTAGTTTCTGACATAACAGACATTAAAGCAACAAAGATAAAAAAAAATACTAAGAAGGGCATTACATAATGAAATAGGTTCAATTCAGCAAGAAGAACTAACTATCCTAAATATACATGCACCCAATACAGGAACACCCAGATTCATAAAGCAAGTTCTTAGAGACCTACAAAGAGACTTAGACTCCCACAGAACAATAGTTGGAGACTTTAACACCCCACTGACAATATTAGACAGACTATTGAGACAGAAAATTGACACAGATATTCAGGAACTGAACTCAGCTCTGAATAGGGTGCACCTAATAGATAGCTACAGAAGTCTCCCCCTGAAGACAACAGAATATACATTCTTCTCAGTGCCACATGGCACTATAAAATTGATCAAAATTGGAAGCAAAACACTCCACAGCAAATGCAAAAGATCTGAAATCATAAAACAGTTACTCAGACCACAGCACAATCAAATTAAAACTCACAAATTAGATTTACTCAAAACCACAAAACTACATGGAAATTGAAAAACCTGCTCCTGAATGACATTTGTGTAAATACTGAAATTAAGGTGGAAATCAAGCAGTTCTTTGAAACTCATGAGAACAAAGAGAAAATGTACCATAATCTCTGGAACACAGGTAAAGCAGTACTACGAGGGAAATGTATAGCAATAACACTCACATAAAAAAGCTAGAAAGATTTCAACTTAAAGACCTAACATCACAGCTAAAAGAACTAGAGATCCAAGAGCAAAAAACCCTACAGCTAGCAGAAGACACAAAATAACCAAGATCAGAGCTGAAGTGAAAAAGATAGAGACACAAAATACTCTTCAAAAAATTAACAAATCCATGAGCTGTTTCTTTGAAAACATTAATAAAATAGATGGACCACTATCTAGACTAATAAAAGAAGAGAGAAGAATCAAATAGACTCAATCAGAAATGAAAAGGGGGATATCACCCCTGCCCCTACAGAAATACAGACAGCCATCAGAGAATACTATAAACACTTCTATGCACATAAAGTAGAAAATCTAGAAGAAATGGATAAATTCCTGGACACATGCACTCTCTCAAGACTGAATCGAAAAGAAATTGAATCCCTAAATAGACCAATAACGAGTTCTGGAACTGAGGCAGTAATAAATAGCTTACGAACCAGAAAAAAAGAGCTCAGGACCATACAGATTTACGCTGAATTCTATCAGAGGTACAAAGAAGAGCTGGTAATAGTTTTACTGAAACTATTTTTAAAAATTGGAAAAGAAGGACTGTTCTCTAACTCATTTTATGACACCAGCATCATCCTGATGCCAAAACCTGGCAGAGATACAACAGAAAAAGAAAACTTCGGGCCAAATCTCTAATCAACTTTGATGCAAAAATCCTCAATGAAATACTGGCAAAGCAAATCCAGCAGCACATCAAAGAGCTTATCCACCAAGATCAAGTTAGCTTCATTCCCAGAATGAGCTGGTTCAACATATGCAAATCAATAAATGTGATTTATCACATAAACAGAACTAAAGACAAAAATCACATGATTATCTCAATGAATACAGGAAAGGCCTTTGATAAAATTCAACATCTCTTCATGGTAAAACCTCTTAATAAACTAGATATTGATGGAACATATCTCAAAATAATAAGAGCTACTTATGACAAACCCACAGCCAATATCTTACTGAATGGGCAAAAGCTGGAAGCATTCCCTTTGAAAACCAGTACAAGACAAGTATGCCCTTTCTCACCACTCCTGTTCAACATGTTATTGGAAGTGCTCGCCAGGGCAATCAGGCAAGAGAAAGAAATAAAGTGTATTCAAATAGGAAAAGAGAAAGTACAATTGTCTTTGTTTGCAGATGACATGATCCTATATCTAGAAAACCCCATTGTCTCAACCCAAAAGCTCCTTAAGCTGATAAGAGACTTCAGCAATGTCTCAGGGTACAAAATCTATGTGCAAAAATCACAAGCATTTCTATACACCAACAACAGACAAACAGAGAGCCAAATCATGAAATCCCATTCACAATGGCTACAAAGTGAATAAAATACCTAGGAATACAGCTAACAAGGGAAGTGAAGGACCTCTTCAAGGAGAACTACAAACCACTGCTCAAGGAAATCAGAGGGGACACAAACAAATGGAAAAATATTTCATGCTCATGAATAGGAAGATTCAATATTGTGAAAATGGCCATACCACCCAAAGTAATTTATAGATTCAATGGTACCATTTCCATTCTTCACAGAATGAGAAGAAGCACTTTTAAAATTCATATGGAACTAAAAAGAGCCCGAATAGCCAAGACAATTCTAGGAAAAAAGAATGAAGTTGGAGGAATCATGCTACTACAGGGTGACAGTAACCAAAACAGCACGGTACTGGTACAAAAAAGACACATAGACCAATGAAACAGAATAGAGAACTCAGAAATAAGACCGCACACCTACAACCATCTGATCTTCAAAAAACCTTACAAAAACAGTCAATGGGGCAAGGATTCCCTATTTAATAAATGGTGCTGTGAGAACTGGCTAACCATATGCAGAAAATTGAAACAAGACTCCTTCCTTACACCTTATACAAAAATTAACTCAGGATTGTTTAAAGACATAAATGCAAAACCCAAATATAAAAATGGTGGGGAAAAACCTAGGCAAACCATTCATGACATAGGCACAGGCAAAGACTTCATGATGAAAATGCCGAAAGCAAAGGCAACAAAAGCAAACATCGACAAATGAGATCTAATTAAACTAAAGAGCTTCTGCACAGCAAAAGAAACTATCATCAGAGTTAACAGGCAACCTACAGAGTGGGAGAAAACTTTTGCAATCTATCCATCTGACAAAAGTCTAATAACCAGAATCTACAAGGAACTTAAACAATTTTACTTACAAAAAAACCCCAAACAACTCCATTAAAAAGTGGGCAAAGTACATAAACTGACACTTCTCAAAAGAAGACTCATGTGGCCAATGAACACGAAAAAACTCAACATCACTGATCATTACAGAAATGCAAATCAAAACCACAGTGAGATACCATCTCATGCCAGTCAGAATGGCAATTATTAAAAAGTCAAAAAACAACAAATACTAGCGAGGTTGCAGAGAAAATGTGATGTTTTACATTCTTAGTGGGAGTATAAATTAGTTCAACCATTGTGGAAGACAGTGTGGCAATTCCTCAAAGATCTGCAGGAAGATATACCCATTTGACCTAGGAATCTTATTACTGGGTATACCCAAAGGACTATAAATCATTCTAATATAAAGATACATACATGTGTATGTTCATTGCAGCACTATTCACTATTCACAATAGCAAAGACATGGAATCAATCCAAATGTCCATTGATGATAGACTGGTTAAAGAAAATGTGGTACATATACACCATGGAATACCATGAAGCCATAAAAAGGAAAAAGATTATGTCTTTTGCAGAGACATGGATGGAGCTGGAAGCTGTTGTCTTTACCAAACTAACGCAGGAATGGAAAACCAAACATCACATGTTCTCACTTATGAGAACTGAACGATGGGAACACATGAATTCATGCGGGTGAACAACACTTAAAATAATTTTATTTAATATTTGTATAGAAGATATATTCACATAATCAAAAAATAAATATGTGTATGTATTCTATACATATAATTGTATACAGTTAAACTCTCCATCTTACCTTTGTCCTCCATCTGCCTAGTTCCCTCCATACCTCACAGATGTGACTTTTATTAGTCCCTTGTATAGCTTTGTTTCTTAATAAAAATACAAGCAAATATTAACATATGCTTTTATTTTTCTTTTTAGTTTTCCAAAGGTAGTGTACTATACTCTGCCCCTTACTCTGATTTTTTTAACTTAATATTTCATGACAATATACCATGTCAGTAGATAAAATGTTTTCTCATCCTTATTTGCAGCTATAGCATGTTCCATTTCATAGATTTACTGTAATTTATTTAAGAAATCCTGTATTACTGGACATTTGCTTTGGGTCAAGTCCTTTGTTATTCCCCATGCTTTCTTGACCTTCCCTAACTATTGATGCATCTTCATCTTATATCCCGTCTTTACAACCTTATTCTCTACTAGAAACCAAAAGGTTTTCTCACTTTTTGATCTCAGTCTTAGGGCATCTTCTGTGTTGCCTCCTATGTAGAGGCAGAGGATCTCACAGTCTATTCACTACAGGAAAGAGTGTACTTGTAGTTTGAGAACTCTGTAAGTGATGTGGTCAAAGGATCTTTCAGCAACACTCTGGAACTTCATATGAATGTAACAAAATTTCAGTTGTATCCTCTAAAAATTATAAAATAAAACAATATAATCAATAATGCTTCATTTTATAAAGTGCAATTATTCTTATTTTCTCCATTTTCCAGATAAGAAAACAGAGGCTTCATACAGTGTTTTTAACTTGCCTAAAGTGGCCTCGTTGCATCAGAAAACCTGGATCTTCTTTCAGTCTAATGTTACTTTCTCCCTATGCCTGATTATGCCCTCTAATCCCTTTTAGTATATCCTTAGAGAGTTATTCTTGGCAAGAATGGGAAACCTTTTGGTTTTCCCAATCCCTCTATTAAATGACTTCGGAAAGAGGTACATCCTAAGTTATGATCAACTAATGCTTTAAGTAGAGATTAATAGACAACCTAGTGGGAATAGGACATGATATATTTCAGATGCATCACAGGAAACAGGATAAATGTATATGTGTGTGCACAGGTGTTTTTATGTAAAAGTGTGTGCATGTGTGATGTAAAGGGAAGCAGTGGGTAACATCACAGGAGAAATAACCAGAGGAGCTAAATTGGGGAGAAGTGTGCAAAGACACATTTCTCTTGTCCTCAAAGTTATGTTGAGTGCTGACATGCAGGTACTGTCTATATGTCTGTTAATGACATTGGGAGGGAAGCTGCTGTAATTTAGACCCCTTTTGGGAATATCCCTTCAGGTCCTGGGCCTCAGTAGCCATTTATGACTTGTGTGACTGCCTAATAGCCATGACCGCTTGGTTGCTTTGTTATTTTCGTCACATCATCAACTCCCAAGTGTAACCTCACTTGAAATGCAGAGGTAAAGATCCTGAGAGTAGAAAGAGAGTTTATCAGATTCCCCCCTTTGTCACCCTCTTCTGCCACCCTTTCAGACTTCTAGTGATCTCCAATTCCCAACTCCACCTCTTTAAGCAAGGTCCTGACCCTTGAGTGAGAGTAACCTTTTAGTAATTGACCCTCCTATGTGACTGATTATCCTGGGTTCCCTTTCTGGTGAATAGATGTAGTGGAGGGAATTTCCATTCTGAGGTACTGTTTGGAAAGAGAATACAGGCCTCAGTTAATTCCCATTAACAGGCAGAAGAACTCATCCCTACTCAAACGTGAGATTAAAATATCTCATTTTTTCTCAATTAAGGTCAGCTCTGTTGTAAAGCTTGACAAGAAAAAAAAATACAGTCTCTTGCACATACCATGTCAAAGCCTGTCTGCTTGAACAAAAGAAGTTTTAAGATAACTTCAATGGATCAGACTTTGAAAAAAATTTAGAAGAATGTATAACTAGAATAACCAATACAGAGAAGTGCTTAAAGGAGCTGATGGAGCTGAAAACCAAGGCTCGAGAACTACGTGAAGAATGCAGAAGCCTCAGGAGCCGATGCGATCAACTGGAAGAAAGGGTATCAGTGATGGAAGATGAAATGAATGAAATGAAGCGAGAAGGGAAGTTTAGAGAAAAAAGAATAAAAAGAAATGAGCAAAGCCTCCAAGAAATATGGGACTATGTGAAAAGACCAAATCTACGTCTGATTGGTGGACCTGAAAGTGATGGGGAGAATGGAACGAAGTTGGAAAACACTCTGCAGGATATTATCCAGGAGAACATCCCCAATCTAGGAAGGCAGGCCAACGTTCAGATTCAGGAAATACAGAGAAAGCCACAAAAATACTCCTCGAGAAGAGCAACTCCAAGACACATAATTGTCAGATTCACCAAAGTAGAAATGAAGGAAAAAATGTTAAGCACAGCCAGAGAGAAAGGTCGGGTTACTCTCAAAGGGAAGCCCATCAGATTAACAGCGGATCTCTCGGCAGAAACCCTACAAGCCAGAAGAGAGTGAGGGCCAATATTCAACATTCTTAAAGAAAAGAATTTTCAACCCAGAATTTCATATCCAGCCAAACTAAGCTTCATAAGTGAAGGAGAAATAAAATACTTTACAGACAAGCAAATGCTGAGAGATTTTGGCACCACCAGGCCTGCTCTAAAAGAGCTCCTGAAGGAAGCACTAAACATGGAAAGGAACAACTGGTACCAGCCGCTGCAAAATCATGCCAAAATGTAAAGACCATCGAGACTAGGAAGAAACTGCATCAACTAACGAGCAAAATAACCAGCTAACATCATAATGACAGGATCAAATTCACACATAACAATATTAACTTTAAATGTAAATGGACTAAATGCCCCAATTAAAAGACACAGACTGGCAAATTGGAAAAAGAGTCAAGATCCATCAGTGTGCTGTATTCAGGAAACCCATCTCATGTGCAGAGACACACATAGGCTCAAAATAAAAGGATGGAGGAAGATCTACCAAGCAAATGGAAAACAAAAAAAGACAGGGGTTGCAATCCTAGTCTCTGATAAAACAGACTTTAAACCAAAAAAGATCAAAAGAGACAAAGAAGGCCATTACATAATGGTAAAGGGATCAATTCAACAAGAAGAGCTAACTATCCTAAATATATATGCACCCAATACAGGAGCACCCAGATTCATAAAGCAAGTCCTGAGTGACATTCAAAGAGACTTAGACTCCCACACATTAATAATGGGAGACTTTAACACCCCACTGTCAACATTAGACAGATCGAGACAGAAAGTCAACAAGGGTACCCAGGAATTGAACTCAGCTCTGCACCAAGCAGACCTAAAAGACATCTACAGAACTCTCCACCCCAAATCAACAGAATATACATTTTTTCAGCACCACACCACCCCTATTCCAAAATTGACCACAGAGTTGGAAGTAAAGCACTCCTCAGCAAATGTAAAAGAACATAAATTTTAACAAACTATCTCTCAGACCACACTGCAATCAAACTAGAACTCAGGATTAAGAATCTCACTCAAAACCACTCAACTACATGGAAACTGAACAACCTGCTCCTGAATGACTACTGGGTACATAACGAAATGAAGGCAGAAATAAAGATGTTCTTTGAAACCAATGAGAACAAAGACACAACATACCAGAATCTCTGGGACACATTCAAAGCAGTGTGTAGAGGGAAATCTATAGCACTAAATGCCCACAAGAGAAAGCAGGAAAGATCTAAAATTGACACCCTAACATCACAATTAAAAGAACTACAAAAGGAAGAGCAAACACATTCAAAAGCTAGCAGAAGGCAAGAAATAACTAAAATCAGAGCAGAACTGAAGGAAATAGAGACACAAAAAACCCTTCAAAAAATTAATGAATTCAGGAGCTGGTTTTTTGAAAGGATCAACAAAACTGATAGACCGCTAGCAAGACTAATAAAGAAAAAAAGAGAGAAGAATCAAATAGACACAATAAAAAATGATAAAGGGGATATCACCACCAATCCCACAGAAATACAAACTACCATCAGAGAATACTACAAACACCTCTACACAAATAAACTAGAAAATCTAGCAGAAATGGATAAATTCCTGGACACATACACTCTCCCAAGACTAAACCAGGAAGAAGTTGAATCTCTGAATAGACCAATAACAGGCTCTGAAATTGTGGCAATAATCAATAGTTTACCAACCAAAAAGAGTCCAGGACCAGATGGATTCACAGCTGAATTCTACCAGAGGTACAAGGAGGAACTGGTACCATTCCTTCTGAAATTATTCCAATCGATAGAAAAAGAGGGAATCCTCCCTAACTCATTTTATGAGGCCAGCATCATTCTGATACCAAAGCTGGGCAGAGACACAACCAAAAAAGAGAATTTTAGACCAATATCCTTGATGAACATTAATGCAAAAATCCTCAATAAAATAATGGCAAAACGAATCCAGCAGCACATCAAAAAGCTTATCCACCATGATCAAGTGGGCTTCATCCCTGGGATGCAAGGCTGGTTCAATATACGCAAATCAATAAATGTAATCCAGCATATAAACAGAGCCAAAGACAAAAACCAAATGATTATCTCAATAGATGCAGAAAAAACCTTTGACAAAATTCAACAACCCTTCATGCTAAAAACTCTCAATAAATTAGGTATTGATGGGACATATTTCAAAATAATAAGAGCTATCTATGAAAAACCCACAGCCAATATCATACTGAATGGGCAAAAACTGGAAGCATTCCCTTTGAAAACTGGCACAAGACAGGGATGCCCTCTCTCACCACTCCTATTCAACATAGTGTTGGAAGTTCTGGCCAGGCCAATTAGGCAGGAGAAGGAAATAAAGGGTATTCAATTAGGAAAAGAGGAAGTCAAATTGTCCCTGTTTGCAGACGACATGATTGTATATCTAGAAAACCCCATTGTCTCAGCACAAAATCTCCTTAAGCTGATAAGCAACTTCAGCAAAGTCTCAGGATACAAAATCAATGTACAAAAACCACAAGCATTCTTATACACCAATAACAGACAAACAGAGAGCCAAATCATGAGGGAAATCCCATTCACAATTGCTTCAAAGAGAATAAAATACCTAGGAATCCAACTTACAAGGGATGTGAAGGACCTCTTCAAGGAGAACTGCAAACCACTGCTCTAGGAAATAAAAGAGGATACCAACAAATGGAAGAACATTCCATGCTCATGGGTAGGAAGAATCAATATCGTGAAAATGGCCACACTGCCCAAGGTAATTTACAGATTCAATGCCATCCCCATCAAGCTACCAATGACTTTCTTCACAGAATTGGAAAAAACTACTTTAAAGTTCATATGGAACCAAAAAAGAGCCCACATCGCCAAGTCAATCCTAAGCCAAAAGAACAAAGCTGGAGGCATCACACTACCTGACTTCAAACTATACTACAAGGCTACAGTAACCAAAACAACATGGTACTAGTACCAAAACAGAGATACAGATCAATGGAAAAGAACAGAGCCCTCAGAAATAACGCCGCATATCTACAACTATCTGATTTTTGACAAACCTGGCAAAAACAAGCAATGGGGAAAGGATTCCCTATTGAATAAATGGTGCTGGGAAAACTGGCTAGCCATATGGAGAAACCTGAAACTGGATGCCTTCCTTACACCTTATACAAAAATCAATTCAAGATGGATTAAAGACTTAAACGTTAGACCTAAAACCATAAAAACCCTAGAAGAAAACCTAGGCAATACCATTCAGGACATAGGCATGGGCAAGGACTTCATGTCTAAAACACCAAAAGCAATGGCAGCAAAAGACAAAATTGACAAATGGGATCTAATTAAACTAAAGAGCTTCTGCACAGCAAAAGAAACTACCATCAGAGTGAGCAGGCAACCTACAAAATGGGAGAAAATTTTCGCAACCTACTCATCTGACAAAGGGCTAATATCCAGAATCTACAATGAACTCAAACAGATTTACAAGAAAAAAACAAACAACCCCATCAAAAAATGGGCGAAGGACATGAACAGACACTTCTCAAAAGAAGACATTTATGCAGCCAAAAAACACATGAAAAAATGCTCATCATCACTGGCCATCAGAGAAATGCAAATCAAAACCACAATGAGATACCATCTCACACCACTTAGAATGGCAATCATTAAAAAGTCAGGAAACAACAGGTGCTGGAGAGGATGTGCAGAAATAGGAACACTTTTACACTGTTGGTGGGACTGTAAACTAGTTCAACCATTGTGGAAGTCAGTGTGGCGATTCCTCAGGGATCTAGAACTAGAAATACCATTTGACCCAGCCATCCCATTACTGGGTATATACCCAAAGGACTATAAATCATGCTGCTATAAAGGCACATGCACACGTATGTTTATTGCGGCATTATTCACAATAGCAAAGACTTGGAACCAACCCAAATGTCCAACAATGATAGACTGGATCAAGGAAATGTGGCACATATACACCATGGAATACTATGCAGCCATAAAAAATGATGAGTTCATGTCCTTTGTAGGGACATGGATGAAATTGGAAATCATTCTCAGTAAACTATTGCAAGAACAAAAAACCAAACACCGCATATTCTCACTCATAGGTGGGAATTGAACAATGAGATCACATGGACACAGGAAGGGGAATATCACACTCTGGGGACTGTGGTGGGGTGGGGGGAGGGGGGAGGGATAGCATCGGGAGATATACCTAATGCTAGATGATGAGTTAGTGGGTGTAGTGCACCAGCATGGCACATGTATACATATGTAAGTAACCTGCACAATGTGCACATGTACTGTAAAACTTAAAGTATAATAATAAAAAAAAAAGATAACTTCAGTGGACTGCGGTCAGCTCTGGGTCTTGCAGAGGCTCTTAGATTCTGGGAAGAAACAGGAAAAAGGGTGTTGAAAATAACAATCATGCATTGGTCTTTAAGGGGAGTCTCTGTCTCCTTGGCTGAGACTTTTTGCCTTAACAAAGAAAAGCAAACCTCAACATCTTTAATATATTCTAAAGGAAGTTTCAATAACATGTGAGATGTGGGTTCTTGCTTGCTCTCTTTCTGTTTCTTGTGTAAAACTGGAACTGAAAACTATCCTTTTGTATTAATTAGCCAGGATTTTCTCTCTCTCTCTCTCTCTCTCTCTCTCTCTGTCTCTCTCTCTTCTTAAATAAAGGTGCCAATTACTTTGAGAGTTATCAGAATGTTTGTGTGAGTCTTATATTGTTTAAAGGTGACTTCTTAGACTCTGTTGAGGAATCTAGATGTGCCTGTCAAATCATTTATTTATTTACTGAGGCAGAGTCTCACTTCTGTCACCCAGGCTGAAGTGCAGTGGCATGATCATGGCTCACTGAAGCCTTGACTTCCCAGGTTCGGTAATTTTCCCACCTCAGCCTCCAGAGTAGTTTGGATTGCAGGTGCATGCCACCATATCTGGCTTATTATTATTATTATTTTAAGTAGAGATGGGGTTTCACTATGTTGCTCAGGCTTGTCTCAAACTCCTGAGCTCAAGTGATCTGCCTGCCTCTGTCTCACAAAGTGCTGGGATTAGAGGCATGAGCCACCATGCCTGGTCCTGTCAATATATTTAAAATAAACTTTCTCAAACCTCCTCACATAAATATAAACTGCAAGGGTGCTCCAATATAGTTCAAATAGAAATCATTCATTTTTTTCTTTAGCTAAAAGAAAAACTGTGAAACATTGCTGAACTTAAAGGTCACATGTTGATCAACCCTTCCAAACGATACAAAGGTAGGTGGAGACACTCACTTCTTCATGAAGGAGACTGAAAGTTACAAAGGCATAAAATATATTTAGATCCCCTGAGATTCTCTGTTGAAAGCAATTAGAAATCAGTCACACTTTATGTAAACCAGGCATTTAATTATCAGGTACAGAAGATACAAATTAGGCAAAGCAAAAAAGGAGAGTTGCAAGAACTTAATTTAGTAGGAATCCTTGTGAGGAGATTAATGAGATGTAAGGGAACATCGATCTCATTACGTTTGTAGATCTGAGGCCATAGACTTTCTAAGCAGCTTTCAATCTTGTGGATTGGATTTTGAAAACATTTTTTAACTACAGAAAGATATACTAGTAAACTTGGGACTTTTTCTGATCAAGTTGCTATCATTGTAACAAACATGAGGGATGGCCCCTATATGGAGTGTACAACAATTTACTTGGTCATAAAGTAATAAATACTTGAGTCGAGTATTTATTCATCTATTACATAAAGTAACCCCAGTGACAAGGAAGAAAGCAGTCATAATAACCAGCAGTTAAAACCCTGTACTTGTGAACTCTACCTGCAAAAATGCCTAATAAGAGTGACATTAGCAAGATGGCAGACTAGGAATCTCCAGGCCCTCATTTCCCCATAGAAATATAAAATAAACAACTAGAAATTGGCTAAAATTATTTTATAGGAGTGCTTGAAAAAAGTCAAAGATATATAGCAATAAAGTGAATGCATATTTAAAAATTGTATTAAAAACAGTAGAATATGTTGCAGCATTTTTCCTCACCCTTGTCTCCCTAACCCTCACATTCCCAGGCTCTGGCACAGTGCAGTTTGGGAGAAGCATCAGCCAAATCCTCAGATCCCTATTCCCTTTACAATTATTGGAGAAAGCAGAGCAGACTGAACTTTCTAACCTGTCTGTGGGTTGTCCAAGGGATTGGTCTCTGTGTCAGCTACTCAGAAATTAGAAAATATTTTGAGACAAATGAAAATTAAAACACAGCATACTAAAACTTATGGGAGGCAGTGAAATTAGTGATAAAAGAAACATTCATAGCTGTAAATATCTACATTAAAAGAGAGGATCTCCAGTCAATAACCCATCTTTAGATCTTTTAGAACAATAAGAACAAACTAAACCCAAAACTAACAGAAAAAAGGAATTAACAGAGACTAGAGCAGAGATAAACAAAGGGGAGACTAGGAAAACAGTAGAGAAAATCTATGAAAAGTCAACAAAATTTACAAGACTTTAGCTATACTGATGAAAAAAAAGGAAGAGAGAAAACTCAAATAACTAAAATCACAAATGAAAGAGGGGACATTACTACTGATTTTACAGAAAAAGGATTATACAAGAGTACTATGAATAATTGTATGCCAACAAGTAGATGGGATGGACAAAATCCTAGAAAATCCTAGAAACACTCAACATACCAGGACTGAATCACGAAGAAACAAAATCTAAACAGATCTACAACTAGTAAGAAGATTGAATCAGTAATCAAAAACTTCCCAACAAAGAAAAACCTAGGACCAGATGGCTTCATGGGTGACTTCTACCAATTATGTAAGGAAGAGTTAATACCAATCTTCCTCAAACTCTTCCAAAAAATTGAAGAAAAGGGAAAGCTTCTAAACTTGTTTTATAAGGCCAACATGACTCTGCTACCAACACCAGACAAAGATGCTACAAAAAACTTCAGACAAACGTACCTTATGAATATTGATACAGAAATTTTCAAAAAAATACCAGCAAACTGAATTCAATAGTATATTAAAAGGTTTATATGACATGCCCTACTGGTATTTATCTCTGTATGCAAGGATGGTTCAGCATATGAAAATCAGTACTTTTGATACATCATATTAACAGAATGAAGCAAAAAACAGCCACATGATAGATGCAGAAAGAGTATTTGAAAAATACAACACCATTTATGACAAAAACCCCAATAAACTAGGAATTGAAGGCAACTACCTCAACATTACAAAGACCATATATGAAAAACCCACAGCTAATATTATACTGAAAGGTGAAAAACCAAAAACTTTTCCTTTAAGATCACGAAGAATGCAAATATACCTGATATCACCACTTCCATTTAACATAGTATGGAAAGTAATAGCCAGAGCAATTAGGTAAGAAAAATAAATAAAAAATACCCAAATTGATAAGGAAGAAGTAAAATTATCTCTTTTTGAAGAATACATGACCTTAAATGTAAAAATCCCTAAAGGTTCCACAAAAAACTTGTTAGAACGAAAAATATATTAAACAAAGTTGAGGGTAGAAAATTAACAATTAAAAATCAGTTATGGTTTTATACAGTAGTAATGAACAATATGAAAAAGAAATTAAGAAAAATTCCATTTACAATAGCACGCAAAAGTATAAAATACTTAGAAATAAAGTTAACCAAGGAGACAAAAGACTTGCATATTGACAACTACAAAATGTTGCTGAAATAAATTAAAGAAGACACAAATAAATGGAAGATATCCTGTGTTCACAGGTTGAAAGGTTTAATACTTTTATGATTTCAGTACTACCCAAAGCAATCCATAGATTCAATGCAATCTCTATCAGAATCCCAAAAACATTGTTTTTAGGATTAGCAAAATCCGTCCTAAAATTCATATGAATCTGAAGGGACCACCAATAGTAAAAATACTCTACAAGACCAAAGTTGCATGTTTCACACTTCCTGATTTCAAAACATACTACATAGCTATAGTAATGAAAACAGTATGGTATAGCATAAAGGCAGACATATAGCTCAATGAAAAAGAATCGATATCTGAGATGTAAACCCTCACATATAAGGTCAAATGATTTTCTGGTTACGTATATATATGATGCTAAGGTGCTATTTATAAGGGTGCTAACTTTATTCAGTGGGTAAAGAACAGTCTTTTCAATATAGGACATTGGCAAAACTAAATATTCATATAGAAAAGAATGAAGTTGACCCTTACCTTATGCCATATACCAAAGTTAACTAAAAACGGATAAAAAACTGAAAGATAATAACTAAAACTATAACAATCTTATAAGAGAACATGGAGAAAAAGCTGGATGGTATTAGATTTGGCAATAATTTTGGGGGGATATGACATAAAAAATACAGCAGCATAAGAAAAAATAGATTAAACCATATCAAAGTTAAAAAAACTTTTTTTGCAAGAAGGACATTATTAGCCGAGTGAAAAGGCAATCCACAAAATTGGAGAAAATATTTGCAAATCATATATCTGATAAGGGGTTAATATCCAGAATACAAAAAGAGCTTTTACAAGTCAAACACAAAAACAAACAACTTGATTTTTAAAATGGGAAAACAGCTTGAATAGACATATCTCAAAAGAAGATGTACAAGCCACCAATAAACACATGAGAAGATGCTCAACATCACTAATCATTAGGGAAATGAAAATTGAAACCATGATGTGATACCACTTCACACTTATTAGGATGGTTATTGTAAGACAACAACAGCAACAAACCCCAGAAAATAATAGGTGTTGGTGAGCATGTGGAAAAATTGAAAGCCCTGTGCACCACTGGTGGGAATGTAAAATGGTACATTAAGAATCGTATATTCAGCAATTCCATTCTGGTATATCTCCAAAATAATTGAAAGCAGTGGCTTGAACGAATATTTGTGCACACATGTTCACAGCAGCTTTAACAATAGCCAAGTGGTAAAATGAACCCAAGTGTCCTCTGATGAATGAATAGATAAACAGCATGTGGTATATGCATGCAATGGAATATTATTTGGCCTTAGAAATGAAGGAAATTCTGATGCATGGGTGGACCTTGAAGACATTTTGATAAGTGAAATAAACCAGTAACGAAAGAACAAATCTTGTATGATTTGAGTTTTATGAGTTACCTAGGGTAGTAAAATACATAGAGAGAAATACTGAAGTGGTGGTCACCAGAAGCTGGGGTAAGGTAGAAATGGGGAATAATTTTTAATTGGTATGGAGTTTCACTTTGGGAAGATAAAAATTTGTGAAGATGGATGATGGTTGCACAACAGTGTGAATGTATTTAATACCACTGAATTCTACACATAAAATGGTTAAAATGGTAAATTTTCTCTCATGTATGTTTTACTACTATATATATATATTTAAATCAACAAAATAATTCATTTTTTTATTATACTTTAAGTTCTGGGATACATGTGCAGAACGTGCAGGTTTGTTACATAGGTATACACATGCCATGGTGGTTTGCTGCACCCATCAACTCGTCATCTACATTAGGTATTTCTCCTAATGCTGTCCTTCCCTTAGTCCCCCACCCCCTGACAGGCTCCACTGTGTGACTTTCCCCTCCCTGTGTCCATGTGTTCTCATTGTTCAACTCCCACTTATGAGTGAGAACATGCAGTGTTTGGTTTTCTGTTCCTGTGTTTGTTTGCTGAGAATGATGGTTTCCAGCTTAATCCATGTCCCTGCAAAGGACATGAACTCATCCTTTTTTATGGCTGCATAGTATTCTATGGTGTATATGTGCCACATTTTCTTTATCCAGTCTATCATTGCTGGACATTTGGGTTGGTTCCATGTCTTTGCTATGGTGAATAGTGCTGCAATAAACATACATGTGCATGTGTCTTTATAGTAGAATGATTTATAATCCTTTGGGCATATACCCAGTAATGGGATTGCTGAGTCAAATGTTATATCTGGTTCTAGATCCTTGAGGAATTGCCACACTGTCTTCCACAATGAGTGAACTAATTTACACTCCCACCAACAGTGTAAAAGCATTCCTATTTCTCCACATCCTCTCCAGCATCTGTTGTTTCAATTATAGGTATGATTAAGAGATTCAGATTTTCATATCCATGCCATACTTTTCCCCAATCTTCCCAGCACAAAGTATGTAAAAAATCTTCCCTAATTCATGTTTTCTACACTGCAACAAGTGAGATTGAGGTGGACTGCCAGATTTCTCACCATCTTATGTTCCTTGGCAAGAGACCTGTCCAAGCCTCAACCCATGGAAAGAATTGTGAGTACCTGAAGAGATATATGTTGTTGAGAACAGACAGAGGCCAAAGGAGAAGGCAGGACTACTGTCTCTGGCCCTGGAAACTCTGCTCTGCACCTCAACCAAAGGAGATGCTAAATTAGAGTTCAGCAAACCGTTCAGCACCACCATGTTGTAGGAGGTGCATTTCACAGGTCTGTTGGGCACAAACCTTCAGCCTGCCTTTTCAGACTGCTGGGATATCTTCTTTGAGTTCTCCCCCATTCTAGAGGCAAAGTGCTCAGATCATTTTCTAGAGCCAAGGATAACGTTCTTTTGTTGTCATCTAGTGCTGATAAATCAGCAGTGACCTAGTGGGAAAAAATATAAGAAATTCAATGGATAAATTAAAAGATACTCTATGCAAACATATCCAATAAAAACCAAAACAAGCCAGACAGAGAAGACTGGAATAAAGAACTAATACTTTAATAAAAAGACATACACATAAATCCACAAGAAACAACAGCAAACATGGAACCATGACCTCCTGAAATGGACAAAGCAAGGAACCAGTGACTGACCCTAATGAGATGGCCATATGTAAACTCTCCGTCCAGGAGCTCAAAATAGCAGTTTTAAGGAAATTCAGTGATCTACAAGATAACAAAGAAAAGTGATTCAGAAATTTATCAGAAAAATTTAATAAAGTGGTAGAAATAATTAAAAAACAAACAGCAATCTCAGAAGTGAGAAATACATTTCCTGAACTAAAAAATTTATTGGAGGCTCTCAACAGCAGAATAAATCAGGCAGAAGAAGGATCAGTGAGCTCAAAGATAGGCTATTTAAAATCAATCAGTCAGATGAGAAAAAGAATAAAAAGGAATAAAGACCACCTACAAGATGTAGATAATTATCCCCCTCAAAATCTAAGAATTGTTGGTGTTCTAGAGGAAGTTGAACAAGAGTAAAAGGTAGAAAGCTTATTCAAACAAATAACAAAAAACTTACCAAAACTTGAGAAAAATGTGAATATTTAGGTACATGAAGGTCCAAAAACACAAAAGTAGATTTGACTCAAGTAAGACCACCCCAAGGCATATAATAATTAACTTCTCAAAGGTCAAGAACAGAGAAGTATCCTAAAAGCATCAAGAGAAAAGAAGCAAATAATATATAGAGAAGCTCCAATTTGTCTGGCCACACACATCTCAATGGAAATTATACAGACCAGGAGAGAAGGGAACAGCATTTTCAAAGTGCTGAAATTTAAAAAAAAAAGTCATTCAAGAATATTTTATTCAGCAAATCTGTCCTTTTAATATAAAGAAGAGATAAATTCTTTCCCAGACAAACAAAATCTAAGAGAATTTAACACCACCAGAACTGCCTTACAAGAAATACTAAAGGGAATTCTTCAATCTGAAAGAAATAACCACTAATGTGCAAAAATACTTTTGAAGGTATAAAACCCATTGGTAAAATTAATTACAAAGACAATTCCTGAATACTCCCATACTGTAATTGTGGTATGCAATTACTTATAACTCTAGTATAGAGTCTAAAAGACAAACCTATCAGAAAACAATAGCCATGACAATCTGTAAAGAGAGGCAGCTAAAGTCATGTAATTTAGACAACCAAAAGTCCAAATGAGGGGAGATGGAGTTAAAGTTTAGAAATTTTATCATTTTTTTATTCTTTTTGTGATCTAAAACAAGTTTTCATCTCTTTAAAGTACCTTGTTAATATCTGTGAGATGCTTTCAGTGAGCCTCATGCTAACAATGCAAAAACATACAATAGATATACAAAAATAAAAAGAATGAATTAAAACATACTACTGGAGAAAATCACATAACCACAAAAGATGACCGTAAAAAAGGAAGAAAGCAAGAGTGGGGTTAGGAAAGCAACCAGAAAACAAATGAAAAATGACAGCAGTAATTTATTACTTATCAATAATAATGAATGTAAAAGATTCAACTCTCCAATTAAAAGACAGAGTGGGCCAGAGGCGGTGGCTGACGCCTGTAATCCCAGCACTTTGGGAAGCCGAGGCGGGCAGATCACGAGGTCAAGAGATCAAGACCACCCTGGCTAACATGGTGAAACCCCGTCTCTACTAAAAATACAAAAAATTAGCCGGGCGTGGTGGCAGGTGCCTGTAGTCCCAGCTACTTGGGAGGCTGAGGCAGGAGAATGGCGTGAACCCGGAAGGCGGAGCTTGCAGTGAGCCGAGATCGGGCCACTGCACTCCATTCTGGGCGACAGTGTGAGACTCCGTCAAAACAAACAAACAAACAAAAAAAAAGACAGAGTGGCTGAGTGGATAAATAAACAAGGCCCAACTATATGCTTCCCATAAGAAACCCACCTCACCAGTAAAGACATATATAGGATGAAAACGAAGAACTAGTAAAAGATATACCATGGAAGTGAAAACCAACAAAAAGCAGAAGTTGTTATATCAGATAAAATAGATGACATGTCAAAGACAGTGTAGAGACAAAAAGGTCACTATATAATAATAAAAAGATAAATACAGAAAGAGGATATAACAATAATAAATATCTATGCACCCAACACTGGAGCATCCAAGTGTGTGAAGCAAACATTAATAGATCAAAAGGGAGAGATAGACTGCAATACAATAATAGTAGGGGGCTTCAACACTCCAGTTTCAGCAATGGACAGATCATGCAGGCAGAAAATCAACAAGGAAACATCAGAATTAAACTATACACTAGACCAAATAGTCCTACCTAATATTTACAGAACATTTCATTCAACTGCTACCAAATACATATTCTTTTCATTTACATATCAGCCATTCAAACCTGAAGAAGTTCAAAAAAGTAGAAATCATATAGAGTACCTTTTGGAACACAATAGAATAAAACTAAACATCCATAACAAGGAGAACCTTGGAAATTATAGAAACACGGGGAAATTAAACAACATGCTCCTAAATGACCAATGGGTCAATGAAGAAATTAAGAAGAAAAATCAAACCTTTCCTGAAACACATGAAAACTAAACATGCAAGAACAAATCAAACCCAAAATTAGCAGAAAGAAAGAAATAATAAAGACTAGAGTAGAAATAAAAAAAATTGAGACTAAAAAACAATACAAAAGATTAAGGAAATGAAAATTTGTTTTTTTTGAAAAGACAAAAAAGTTGAAAAACTTTTAGCTAAACTAAGAAAAGAAGAGAGAAAACCCAAATAAATAAAAGCATAATAAAAAAAGAACACAACTGAGACAACAAAAATACAAAGAAACATTAGAGACTATTATCAACAACTTTATGTCAACACATTGGAAAACCTAGAAAGGACGGATGGATAAATTCCTGGACACATTCAGTCCACCAAGATTGAAGCATGAAAAAATAGAAAATCTCAACAAACCAATAATGAGAAATGAGATCAAAGCTGTAATAAAATGTCTCCCATCACAGAAAAGCCCAGACCCTGATGGTTTCACTACTGAACTCTTCCAAACATTTAAGGAAGAACTGATACTAATTCTATTTAAATGCTTCAAAAAATTGAAAAGGAAGGAATTCTTCCCAAGTCATTGTACAGGACAGCATTACTCTGATACCCAAATCAAAGGCACAACAATAAAAGAAAACTGCAGGCCAAGATCCCTGATGAACATAGATGTAAAAATCCCCTACAAAAAATACTAGAAAACTGAGCTCAACAGCACATTAAAAAGTTCATTCATCCCAGGGATGCAGGGATGGTTCAACATATGCAAGTCAATAAGTGTAGTACTTCACATTAACAGAACCGAGAACAAAAACCACATGATCATTTCAATAGATGCTAAAAAAATTAATAAAATTCAACATCACTTTTTGAAAAAACCCTCAAAAGCTGGATATAGAAAGTACATACTTCAAAATAATAAAGGCCATATACAACAAAACCAGAGCCAACACCATACTGAACAGGGAAAAATTAAAAGGCTTTTCTCTATGATCTGGACCAACACTAAGATGCCTACTTTCACCACTCTTATTGAAGGTAATACTGAAAGAGCTGGCCAGAGCTATTAGGCAAAAGAAATAAATAATGACATACAACCTGGAAAGGAAGAAGTCAAATTCGTCTTGCATGCAGATGACATGATCTTATCTTTATTAAAACCTAAAGACTCTTGCCAAAAAAACCTGTTAGAACTCATAAATGAATTCAATAAATTTGTACAATGTGAAATCAAATACAAAAATCAGTAGCATTTATATATGCCAATGGAGAACAATGTGAAAAAGGAAGCAAAAAAGCAATCCCATTTACAAAAGCTACAAAGAATATAAAATACCTAGAAAGCAATTTAACCAAAGATGTAAAAGACCTGTACAAAAAAACCATAAAGCACTGATAAAAGAAATTGAAGAGGACACCAAAAATAGGAAGAATATGCCATGCTTATGGATTGGAGGAATTAATATTGTTAAAATAACTATACTACTTAAAACAATTTATAGATTGAATGAAATCCTTTTCAAAATTCCAATAATATTATTCACAGAAATAGCAAAAACAATGCTAAAATATATATGGAACAGTAAGAGACTGGACATTTATATGCAGAATAATCAAACTAGATCCCCATATTTCATGCGGTACAAAAATCAACTCAAATTTCAATGTAATGTCTAAAACTATGAAACTACTAGAAGAAAATGTTGGGAAAATGCATTAGGACATTGGTCTGTGCAAAAATATTTTGTGTAAGACCTCAAAAGGACAGGCAACCAAAGCAAAAATGGAAAAATGGGGTTACTTGAAGATGAAAAGCTTCTACACATCAAAGGAAAAAATCAACAAAGTTAAGAGACAACTTACAGAAGGGGAAAGATGTGAACTATTCAGCCAACAAGGTACCAATCACCACAATACATAGGGAACTCAAAAACCCAATAGCAGAAAAACAAATAATCTGATATAAAAATGGCAAAAGATCTGAATAGACATTTACTAAAAGAAGAAAAACAATTGCCCAACAGGTATATAATAAATGCTCAACATCACTCATCATCAGGGAAATGCATATCAAAACCACATTGAGATTTCATCTCATTCCAGTCAGAATGGCTGTTTGCAAGAAAAAAAAAAAAGATAACAAATGCCAGTGAAAATGTGGAGAAAGGGAACTCTCTACACTGTTGGTGACAATGTGAAGGAGAACAGTCATTATGGAAAGTAGTATGGAGGTTCCTCAAAAAATTAAAATAGAACTACCATATGATTTAGCTATTTCACTACTGGGTGTATATTCTAAGAAAAGAAAATCAATATATTGAAGAATTATTTGCATGCTTTTGTTTACTACAGCACTATTCACAATAGCCAAGATATGGAATCATCTTACATGTCCACCAACAAATTAATGAATAAAGAAAATGTGACATATATACATAATGGAATATTATTCAGGTATAAAAGGAATGAAGTTCTCTTATTTGCAGGAACATGGATGGAATTGGAGGTCATTATGTTAAGTAGAATAACCCAGACACAGAAAGTCAAATATCAGATGTTTTCACTCATATACGGGAAAAACAGTGGGTATCATGAAGGTTGAGAGTAGTAGAATGTTGGTTCTCAGAGGCTGGGAAGGGAAGAGAGGTAGGAGGGATGAAGAGAAGTTAGTTAATAAGTACAAAAACAGTTAGATAAAAGAAATATTTTCTATTATTTGATAGCACCATAGAGAAATTATAGTCAACAATAATTTATTGTATATTTCAAAATAACTAGAAAAGCAGAATTCTAATGTCCCAAAAACAAAGAATAAATAAATGTTTGAGGTGATTGTAATCCCAATTACCCTTATTTGTTCATTACGCATTGTATACATGTATCATGATGTCACATTTATTTCAACATAATGTACAACTATTATGTGTACATTTAAAAATAAGAAAAATGGGCAAAAGACCTAAATAGACATTTCTAAAAAGAACATATACAAATGGCCAAAAGGTGTATGAAAAAATGTCCATCATCAGTTAACATCAGGGAAATGGAAATCAAAACTACAATAAGATATCATCTTACTCCAGTTAGAATGGCTATAATTAAAAAGACAAAAACAATGCTAATGAGGGTATGCATAAAATGGAAATCTTATGCATTGTTTATGAGAATGTATTAGTACAGCCACTATGGATAACAGTATGAAGGTTCTTCAAAAAATTAAAAATGAATACACCATATGATCGAACAATTCTACTACTGGGTATATATATATTCAAAGGAAATGAATTTAATATATTGAAGAGATACCTACACTTTTAGGTTTATTGCAACACTATTCACAAATGCCAAGACATGGAATCAATCTGAGTGTTCATGAATAGATGAATGAATAAAGCAAATGTAGTGTATATATACACAAAGGAATACGATTCAGCAAGAAGAAAGAATAAAATTCTGTCATTCGCGACCACAAGGATTAACCTAGAGGACATTATGTTAAGTGAAAAAAGTCAAGCACAGTGGGAGAATTATGACACGATCTCACTCATACGTGAAATGTAAAATAGTTGATCTTATAGCAATAGAGTGTAGAATAGTGGTGATCAGACTCTGGGGAGGGGAGGTGGAAGAGGAGTATGGGGGGGGTATCAATGGGTACAATGTTACAGTTAGAAGAAAGGAATGCGTTCTGGTGTTCTCACAATTGGATGACTCCAGTTAACAATAATATATTCTATATCTCAAAATAACTAGAATAGAATCTCTTAATTCCTCTCACCACAAAGTAGTAATTGTTTGAAGTAACAAATATGCCAATTACCTGATTTGATCATCGCACAATGTATACATGTATTGTACCATCTCAATGTACCCGTATGTATGTACAATTAAAAACAAAATGTAAGTTTAAAAAATCAGAGCCATTAATTTGGCAAGGGAAAAGGAAGCGGCTAAGAAGAAATTTATCAATTTATGCAGAATCAGATTTTGAAAATCATTCAAGTACTTGCTTTGGCAGCAAATCTACTAAAATTGAAAACTATTCAAAAGTTTTATCATGGATTTTGATAAGGACACAAAGTGTAATTTGTCGAAATGTACAGATTATATGAAGTTAGAAGATGCAGTGAATGTGATGGGCATCATGATTGGAATCCACAAAGATCTCAATGTCGAGTGGAATTTAACAAAGTAAAATTAAATAAGGAAAAAGTAAAATTCTGAACTAGATTTGCAAAAGTCAACCCTCAAATTTATTTATATACTCTCAAACTTACCAAAGTGCTTGCAACATAGGAGACGATATATATTAAGCAAATAAATGGTTAATAAAATATGGGAAATGACATGACTTTTTCCTCTCTCTTTTATTTGTATAAATTTAAGTTGTACAAGTGCAGTTTTGTTAAATAGATATATTGCATAGTGGTGAAGTCTGGGCTTTTAGTATAACTATCCCCTGAATAATATACATTGTAACCATTAAGTAATTGCTCATCTCTTTCACCCTTCCGAGATTCTTATGTCTATTACTTCACACTCCATGCCCATGCTTGGACATAATTTAGCTCCCACTTACAGGTGAGAATATGTGGTTTTTGATTTTCTGTTTCTGAGTTACTTCACTTAACACAATGGCCTGGCTGAATAGTATTTCGTGGTGTGTGTGTGTGTGTGTGTGTGTGTATACCACATTTTCTTCATCCAATCAACCATTGATAGACACACTTAGATTGATTCCATATATTTGCTGTTGTGAATAGTGCTGTGATAAACATATAAGGGTAGGTATCTTTTTAATACAATTATTTCTTTTCCTTTGGGTAGATAACCAATACTGGGATTGCTGGATTAAATGGTAGTGTTATTTTTAGTTCTTTGAGAAATCTCCATACCATTTTCTCTAGAGGTTGTATTAATTACATTCCCACCAACAGTGGAAAAGCATTCCCTTTTCCCTGCATCCTTGCCAACATCTGTTATTTTTTGACTTTGTAATAATTGCCATTCTGTGTGGTGTGAGATAATATCTCATTGTAGTTTTAATTTGCATTTCTCTGATTATTAGATGATTAGTGATATTGAGCAGTTTTTCATATGCTTGCTGGCCATTTGTATGTCTTATTTTGAAAAACGTTGGTTCATGTCCATTGCCCACTTTATAATGGGGTAGTTTTCTTCTTTGTTATTGTTGAGTTGTTTGAGTTCATTGTAAATTCTGGATGTTAGTCTCTTGTCGAATTCATAGTGTGCAAATATTTTCTTCCATTCTGCAAGTTTGTTCACTCTGTTGATTGTTTCTGTTGCTGTGCAGAAGCTTTTTAGTGTAATTAAGTCTCATTGTCTATTTTTGTTTTTGTAGCATTTGCTTTTGAGGTATTAGCCATAAATTCTTTGCTAGGCCAAAGTCCAAAAGAGTTTTCCCTAGGTTTTCTTCTTGGATTTTATAGTTTCAGGTCTTACATTTAAGTCTTTAAATGATCTTGAGTTGGCTTCGGTATATGATGAGAAATAGTGGTCCAACTTCATCCTTCTGTATATGGCAATTCAATTTTCCCAGCACCATTTATTGAAAAGGGTGCCCTGTCCCCAATATATGTTTTTGTTGACTTTGGGAAATGATGTGACTTAATGGCAGCTTGTGTGGAAAAGTTTCAGGAATTTAGCTGACTACGGCTGAATGTGAATTTATGTGGTTGCCGAAAATGCAAAAGAGAGAGGGAGGAAAGAAGGAAACAGAAACTGAACAATTTTACATTAACAAATACATTGTGCTCAAAATCAAGGGAGGTGCTCTTTCTATTAATTCTATGTCAGTCTGGACTGACTGAATAGAATTAGTAGAAGGAGCACCTTTCTTTATTTGGAGTATAATATTGATGTTGAGATACCACACTCTAAAAGGAAGTTTGGCAAACTAGGGTACATCTAGACTAATCTAATCAGGGTCATGAAAGGGCCAAAAATAATCTCAAATGAGAAATAGTTGATGGAATTGAACATATTTAGTCTAGGAAGGGGGAGTACTAAAGAGTATATAATGTCTGTTTTTAAATACTTTAAAGGGCTATCATTGGGAAGAAGGAGCAGGCTTGCTCTGTATTTTCCTGAGTAAGAACTATGTTCAAGGGTAAAAACTATAGAGACAGATTTTGACTCAATATGGGATAATGCTTTCTGCTAGTTAACACTGTCTATAAAATGAAATGGGCTGGGTGCGGTGGTTCAAGCCTGTAATCCCAGCACTTTGGGAGGCTGAGGCGGGTGGATCACGAGGTCAGGAGATCGAGACCAGCCTAACTAACACGGTGAAACCCCATCTCTACTAAAAATAAAAAAAAATACAAAAAAAAAATGAAATGGACTGCCGATGAAGTACAAAGTTCTTTGTTTCTGGAGGAGTTTAATTAGCTTCTGGATGGCCATTTGTCCAGGAATTCATAGAGGGAGTCTGTGTACCCCAGTTATTAGGGAATTGGATTGGGTGACTTAAGATCCATTCCAACTAAGATTTGATGCTTCCATGAAAGCAATTGGTTTATAGCAAACATCATATATCGTGTAGTGGAAAAATTCCAAGGACCATGAAGAAGTTCTAGTAGAAGTACCCTGAATCAAACTGACTATGTTCCCACAGACAAGGAGTTAGTATCCTCTAACAATTTAAGTCTTAACAAGAACATTATGTATACTAACTTGGATCAGAGCCAAATCTAGATACTTTTTAGCCAAAAAAGCATAAATTCCACAGTTATTTAACACCCAGCCTCTACTGTAGCCTGAGTCCCCTAGCACACTACTTCTGTGGCAAAGTACATATTGATGGCAAGGCTCTGCCTCAATGCCCATATTAGAGCGCTTAAAATCTCTTCAGTGTGGCAACTCTTAAACTTCACTTCATTAAGGAGAACTTGTCAAATAAAAGAGCTCTAATGAATCATTTTATACAGATAAGAAATGGGAATTAATATTAGCTATTTGTTTATTAGCAACTTTATCACAGCAGTAAAAATAGCCATTGTGATTATGCCAAAATCCACAACATGTCAGTTGGGTTTTTCTGGATTCTATTATTAACATGACATGAACAAGATAAGATAGCAGGGGAGAGGAAGACTACAGAACTCTTTAAAGAAATTTGAACAAAAAAGGAGTAAGAAAAAGTGGGGGAGGAAAATTTAACATAGCAGTTGAGAGAGAAAAACAGTTAATATGTTTGACATAGTACCCTCTTTTCTAAAAAATGTAAAGGTCATAGAACACCCTGCTTTAACCACCTACAATATTTATTTACTTTACATCTGCTTTGGTATTTAATCATATGGTATTCTGTCTGTTTCATTGTACTATGAGTTCACCTGCACTAAACTGATGTAGGAAAAAGAGCAATAAACAGAGATAAAAAAGACTGAGATTTTAGTTCCAGCTCTGCAACTAAACAACTGTATGACTTGAGGGAAGACCCTTATCCTCTGGGTTTCTGTTTACCCATTTCTACAATTGGAATTTGGCTAGATCATTTCTAGGGGCATTTTTAGCTTTAATATTTAAGAGTTGGGACTCTGTGACATCAAGGATCTTGTTTTATTTGTCTCTACCTGACCCAATCAGGGTCATGATCATCCAGATGTGTAAGTTGGTGCAGTCTAAGTATTAAATTTTTTTTCAAATGACCACACCTAAGCTTTGTGGTTAAAAAAAAAAAAAAACAACTCTTATCCATGGGTAGAGATGGTATGTCTTCACTTTCTCTTCCTCTAGGGAGAAATTTTTTTTTCCTTCACTTCAATCCCCAGGAGGATAAGGGAGTACTCCTTTCATCCGGCTTCCTCAAACATAGTTGCAATCCTGGGGATCCACTTGATGCTCCAGCCTGTGTGGTCTTTCTTGAATTTGTGAGTATGTTGATAAGACAGTGCCAAATTGAAACTTACTGATAACACCATGGCAATTCTAAATAATGTTAATTGTGACAAAAACCTTATTTCCTTCCCACTGGAAACACCCTTTACACTGATTTCTCAAATCACATATGGCTGTGGAAACTTTTCATCTTGGAGTCTGTTTGCCTTCCACATGATTGGCTGGATTAGGGTGTTTCCATCCCAAATGTGATCCCACTGGTTGGTAAGGTAATCACATTGCATGCAGTGTGTGGAACTTGATGTTAACGCCCCAAGTTAAGTTCCATTAGTCTGGAAGTGCTTAAATTACTCCTGCAGAATGTGCATATGGTGGTGGTTTAATGGCCTCATCTGAGGCCAGAGGATGACAAAGACTGAAGTCCAGGGCCCATCCTAAGTGAATGGATTCTTTTTTGTTCTAACCTAGCCCAGATTTCCTCTTTTCCTCCGAAGCTTCATAATCATTTTGCCAGTGCCTAGACAGGCTATCTATATTATAGGTATAGGATCCAGATCTTTGTTTTTTAGTGTGTGTGTGCGTGTGTGTGTGTGTGTGTGAGAGAGAGAGAGAGAGAGAAAGTTTAAATGGTTAAAGACACCAGGGGAAAGTGCTGCTCTTCATTCCTTCATTCTTAGTATAATTTCGTGGACCCTAGCCATATATGGATATTTTAATTTAAATTAATATTAAATAAAATACAAAATTAAGTTCTTTAGCCACAATAGCCACGTTTCAAATGCTCAGTAGCTATATGTGGATGCCATATATAATATTAAACAGCACAGATATAGAACATTTTTTTATCACAGAAATTTCTAGTGGTTAATACTGGATAGTAGAGAAATAAAGCGAGAACAACTTTTTGTTTTGACTTGTAATAATGACAGTCATTTTGATATGAATTATGCTTTATTCTTAATTATCACATACTTTCTACAAATTAACTTTGTTGTTTTAATTAATTTAATGCATGCATTATTTAGTCAGCAAAATTTGTTGAGTGCTTATTAAGTGCCAGAGGTTATGCTGGATGCTGCCCCTTAGGAGCTCACAGTTCAGTGAGGAGACACAGATGTAAATAAGATAGAGAAGCAAGTGCTATATAATAGCAGGATATTCAAAATATTCTGAGTATACAGAGCAGGAAGAACTTAACTTGTCTGAAAAATGAGGGGTGACAGTTGTGTTGTATCTTGAAGATGCATAGGAGTTTGCACACACATAGGCAAAGAGGTAGAAAGAAGACCATTGCCAGCCAAGGGAAGAGCACGTGCAAAAGCACATTGGAGTGTTCATTCACAATCTGGCGAGGAGTTTGTTGTGGCTAGAGCATAGGATGCATGTGGGTAGCAGTGGGAAACTGTAAAAAGTGAGACTGGGAAGATTATGAAGGGCTTTATAATCCCGTCAGAAGCTATGCTTGACAAAAATTTTTAATCAGTTAGAGTTCAACCTGAGAAACAAAACCAGTAGGAGATGTATTATTTTGTATTAATATAACATATTGTATTAGTCTGTTCTCACATTGCTATAGATAACTACCTGAAACTGGGTAATTTATGAAGAAAAGAGGTTTAATTGACTAGAGGCATGATTGGGAGGCCTCAGGAAACTTACAATCATCGTGGAAGGTGAAGGGGAAGCAAGAACATCTTCACATGGTGGCAGGAGAGAGAGAGAGAGAGCTCAAACGGGAAGTGCTACACACTTAAACAACCAGATCTGATGGAAACTCACTCATGATCATAAGAACAGCAAGGGGGAAATCCACCCCCATGATCCAATCACCTCCCATCAGGTCCTTCCCCCAACACTGGGAATTATAATTTGACATGAGATTTTGGTGGTGACACAGAGCCAAACTATATAATATATTAAAAGATTAATTTCAAGGAATTGGCTTATACAACTGTAGGGGCTGGCTAGAGAAGTCCAAAATTTGTAGGGCAGGCTGGCAGGTTAGAACTCTGGGGCACAGGCTGAAGCTGCAGTCCACAGGTGGAATTTCTCAACATTTATGGAGAACTTTTATAGTTTATGGTTCTAATTCTGGTCTGTTCATGCTCACAGGCTCACAACCAAAAGCAAGTAGTGGGAAAATTGAGTCTTAGTTATTTTTACAAATGCATTTTACCCACAAACTTTCTATAAGTATAAAAACCCGGATACCATGGATAATATGCTTCATTGTGTCTCCATTCTTCTAAGAAATTCATGATATATTGAAATCAGTGATTTCCTTCTTTCTTTATACTATCAAGGCATTCTTCCTAGTTCTAACTTTCACCAGGAATATTTTCTTTTGGGGTAGCCTCCATCACCGCTTGAAAGCATTTTACTTCCTCATAACAATAAACCAAAGAAAGACTTCATGAGAAGACCTGCCATACATATGATCAGTTGGAGGAAAAAAGAGAAGCAGCTTTCAAATATGTCTAAACACTCAAATGATGTGCTCTTACATTTAGTTTAGCCACCATAGTTTTAGTGTTTATTTTAACAGACAGAGATAATGTATCACCTCATATTACTCAAGTGTGATATACACTGCTTGATGATTCTCGTGAAAGAGTTGCCGACGAAGAAGACCTTAGCATTTAGGTTGAAAGAAAGGGACTGTTGGTTTTCTTTGTTTTTCAAGAACTTTTGCCCTTCAGCATTAAAACTGGAAGCATCGGTGCCTGATATATAGTGGATGCTCTGTAAATATGTGATAAATAAATGTCTTGGTTGTTCTTGCATATCATTTTAGTGCCTCCTGTATCCTAACTTAAGGTTATAATCTAAACTGAGCTATCCTTTAATGATGACCCACTTATCCCCTCTTTGAAGGAGAGAGAACCTAAAAAGCTCATTTATATTAACAGGCTAGAAACTGAAAGATATCCGTTTCAAGAGTGCTTATATTTTACAAGAAGATTCTAGGAAAGGAAGTGTCTAACCTAAGGTATGGGTAGCAAATGGTAGAAATTCAAGCTCAGGGTGGGGTCCTTTTTTTAGAAGTCTTAAACTCTTATTACATACAAGAGAGATGCAAACAAAGCATGTGGAGGTTCATATGAGGAAGATTGCATGTTGGTTTGGGCTGGTCAGGGGTCAGACAACAGGCTAATTTAAGGAAGCCTTTATGGGAGAAAGAGGATTAGAGCGGTGTCTTAATGGATAGATTACATCTCACTATATAGAGATGGAAGAGATGACACAATACATAAAAGAGTGTGAGCAAAGGCACAAAAGCAGGAAGGCTTGGGTGGGTTCTAAAGAAAGGAAGGTAGCTCAGTTTGTATGAAGATAGAGGAAAGGAAGGAGTGTGGAGGGAGATAAAGCTGGAAAGTTATGCTGAAATCAGAGCAAAATTATGGAGGGCTCTGAAGGCCAGGCTAAGGGGTCTAAATTTTATTCAGTAGGTAATGGGGAGCCATTGAAAATTTTAAGTCAGAAAGTATCATGATCAGAGATGTCTTTAGGTAAATTAATCAAATGAAAGCTCTCTTCACCCTAACCACTTTGCTGAAGAGTTTGGTTGAGAGGAGTAATAGAAAGAACCACCATCTAACTTTTCACTCAGATTATCTTTAGCTCAGTGATTCGTAGCATGTGATGTAACCCCAAGGTGATGTATTCTTCTATTGGTAGCAGCTTTGGGAGAAAAGAGGACTAACTCATTCAGAAGTATATTTAGGACTGAATTATCTAGATAATAAACTCCACTTCTTCCTGTTACTAAGACTATGTTATTAAGATTATGAATGCTTAGCTTTGGAGATGAGTTAGACTCTCTCTACCTAGAACTGTAGTCCAAGGACAAGCAAAATCAGGATCACTTGGAAAATTGTTAGAAATTAAGAACCTTGGGCTTCACCATAAACCTCCTGAATCAGTATTTGATTTTTTTAAAAAAGCCCCAGGAAATTCCTATGCCCATAAACTTTGAGCAGCACTGGGTTAGAAGACTCAAGTTTAAATCCTGGCTCTGCTACTTAATAGCTGGGTGGCCTTGAATAAGTCATTTCACTTTTCTCGACATTAATGTCCAAATGAATAATAAATGCCTACTTGACCTACTTCCTAGGATTTTTGTGAAGATAAAATGAGTTGATGCATGTACATGTGCTTTGAAATGTTGAGTCTCTGTAGATGTTAGATATTACTGTTATTTCCACCTTTACAATGAAAACTAAGAGGGCCTGATGAAACTGGAACCCATGTAGGATTGCCAGATGGCAAATAAAAATATATAACATTAAGTTAAATTTGAATTTCAAATAAACTAGTAATCATTTTTAAGTATAAATGCTCCCCAAAGCTAATACATTGTACTATATATTTGTTAGGTTTCATCCTGAGAATAGATTAGTTTAAACAGCTGGTTCCTATTTCAGGAGGTCGTATTGCAGATGAGGTAGCCTTTTATATGTGATGACAACAAACAGATTTTTAATGAGACATTTCTATGAAAACATAAGAAAAACAAAGGTTAATGTTGCACATAATTTAGCCAGATGTTGGACTCAAAACATCTTTAGTTGCAGAGGAGGAAGGTGGTGGCAATCTGACACATTTTTTCAAACCTGTATCACAAGGAATAAGCTTCAGCTTTCAGGGCCTCAGGAAAAAGGTAGTAGCAATTTCATTGAGTCCAAATCAGAAAAATGGAAGAAAAATTTGAAAGCATTAATTTGGAGACTTGTAGTTTGAAAAGAATTCAGGATTTACACCAAATTGTAGAAAATGATTTTAAAAACCCAATAACAATGGACAAGAATAGTAGCTAACAACAGGTGTAGTATAGATTTTTTCCTGAAACATAATTTTTCTCTCTCTAGTCCCCATTTTTATTAAAGACAAATTATAGTAGGAAAAATTTATTTGAAAAATAAGTTTTAGTCTTATTATATTTGGCTTGATTATTTGCCTAAAGTGCATCAAGAATAGTTATTTGCCATATAGGCTTTTTTTTTTTTTTCAAATTGGCTTTGCTGGAACTTTTTTTTTCCATAAGGAATCTCAGATTAGACTTTTTTAAAGCCTCAAGCTCAGCCATGAATTTAGCAGAAACCTGTATGAGTTCAGTGAATTCCTCTCTTCTCAAGGTCCCAAGATAACCTGGGGATCCTGGGTCTGTCAGAAAATAACATTCTTTACTTACCATGGGTCAGAAGCCCTGTACAAGGACTGCATCAAAGTACGAGGCCAGTTTTCCCAAGGGTCTTTTATTGGCCATGTAAGTCAACTTTGATTTCTCAAAGCAGTCTGTTTATATCTGAAAACATGCCATTCCAGTCAAAACCTTGGTAAAATTACCAGAGTTCTATTGCAAAAGAAAACACATTCATATTGAACATATGCAAATAACCATATTGACATAAATTAAGTATAATTACAAATAGTTTTGAATTTCTGGAGAAATTAGGTAGAGAGAATAAAGTATGCTTCAAATTTTGCTCACAAGAGCATACTCTGTCAATAGCTCAAAAGCAAAAGGTTTTCTGGAATCCAAAAAACAAAAGAATTAGCAATGTTTCAAACAGAAAATCATAAAAAGATTATTTTAGTCTTTTATTAGTTCAGCACTTTCAATTAATTCATGTTCTGTCAGATATTGGGCTAGCAGTCCTCATGAATACATCAGCACTCTACTAGAGTTTAGGAAGTTTGTGCTTTTGTTTTTTGTTTCAATGGCATAATCTCTAAAGTTATCAGAAACATGCATTCAGGAGCATCCATCAGAGTCTTACAACTAATTATAAACTGCCTTTTGGAAAAGATCAAAACAAGACAACAATTGTATGTGGATGACAAAAGTCTTAGGACAGCCATGGCTAAAAACATAATTGACAAGTAAATCTGTTAGTCTATGTGGCACACAATTTAATATAATGATCATAATTATTACTGATAACATATGCTGAGACATGTCAGAATTATAAGAATCTTAAAAAATTTTGGAATAATACATTTATATAATTTTAACTCAAAGTAAAACACCATTTTATATTTGACAAATCTCCTGTACAATTTTAATATACCAAATAAGTTGAATATATTTATTTTGGACTTCAGGGGACTTAATACTTAAAGGTTAATGAAGTAAAAAATAACGTAGAATTTCATTTTTGGAGGTTTGTCAAATATCAAAGGTTTAAAACACTTTATATCACTAAATAGAATCACAGGTGATTCATTTAGGTGAAGTAATAACTCAAAAATTTCAAAAAGGCAAAAACCTTTACTCTGATAGAAGGGAGACTCAGCTATCCAAACAAGATTCAGTGAAGATAGCATGAAGCCAACTGAATCTGTCTCTTCTCTCTCCCTTCTTTTATCCTGCAGTTTACTAGAAAGACAAACAAAAGTCTTTCACCTCTCAATATTACATGAAATTCTTGTTGAAAAGCGAAAATCAAATTTTGCCTTTGCATTAGTGCATTATTAATGCTAAAGCTAACTTTTAATAAAATTTTATAAACAAATTATCCATTTTAATTAGTTTGGCCATAAGGTAAGATATGTACAAACCCTTTATAATCTTATAATATTTTAATTAAGGAGGAGATTAGTGCCCCATAAATATCCTGTTATTCTGACACATGTGCTTAGATTCTGACCCTGCATCAGTGTTCTTTTTATTTTATTGTTTAATTCATAGAAAAACTAAATAGCTTTTTCAAATTTTGGTCAATTTTCTCACACCCACAGATTGTTTTTACAAGATCAATTATTTACAAACCTTCTACAACTTGTTTAAACTTTCAGTTTTATATTTTTAACTTAAAAAATCTGTAAACCCTTTAAACTAGTCAAAATCACTCTTTCTTTTTTAAAACACATTTTTATATCTTTTCATTAAAAACACCTAACTTTTGTGTTTAGTGGAATCAATTTTAATTAGGATAGGACACAAGAAAGAACTGCAGATAATTTCTGACTTATTCCAGCATGGCTAGGGTGCGTGGCTAACGCCACATGTCCCCAGGTGTTACCTAGAATCTAATGGTTCTAAAGCAGGCAAGTCAAACAATTATAAAAAATCATGGAAACAGTTTATGCCCTTAAAGCATCTAGCAAGCACTACATTCGACCTGCCTAATTTAGACCAAATTATATTTTGAAGACATTTTCTTTTACTAATAAATTTTAAAGCTGTCTTGATTTTTCAAAGATTATTAGTCACATGAACTAAAAGGCATTACAGTTTTTATTTCTCTGACAAAATATTTGCTTAAATGCTTATTTTTTAAAGTCAAATAATTAGAGCTGTTTTATATCATTTGATAATGAAACTTCACACATGCAACACATATAAATAGACAGAAGCAGATCTGATAGTTACAAGATTCTTCATTTGCTAGGTTTTAAGTTTTTATCTCACTTTAGACCATCTGTCTCTTTATTACTTGTTCCCTGCCCTAAACAACTGTCAGCCATGCAGTTCTAAATTTGCATTTTAAAGAAGTAATTCTTAGGTGAAACAAAATAAATAATTCATATCATGATGGCCAAGAAAAGCAGACACTATTACACATTTAGCTTTCCTTAAAGATGTAAGTTTCTTAATGGGATTATTTGCTTTAGGGTGGAGCCTTTTAAAGACATGGCCAGGAAAGCATGTAGTTTCTAGGACCAAATCAACAGGCACAGATGGAAGGCAAAAGAGATCTCCAAAATCAAGGATTTCATTCTTACATCAAACCCTGAATCCCCAAAAGAGGGAAACACTATGAGACAAGAAAGTGCAATGCTCCCACAGCATATTTCATTGCAAGGACGTTTACCCAAAGCTCTTGGAAAACCCAATTCCAATTAGCACACACTGTAATCAACCTATTTTCCATCCCATAAATGTGTTTAAGAGCACACTTTTCCTATTTAAATTAGGAAAGAAAAGTAAATCTCAAGACCCCCAAATCACCAAGCCAAGAAAAATTCAAGCTAGAAACGACATCAGGCAAACCTGCCTCCCATTTTATTCCTAAATAAGAGAGCGAAAAAGGTAAAAGAGCTACATACCTCCCTCACAATTTGCCCACAAGGAAATTCCTTGTGGGCCTCAAGATCTTTGCCCTAAAGCACTTCTGTTGAATTTCACCCGGACAATGTATACTGACAGCTGATCTTCACAGGTGCAGAACAGAAAGTCACCCCTCTGCTCACTTGAGATGAATCCATATCCAGTTGCTTCCTATGCTCTATTGTTTATGTAAAAATGCAGATTCACTGAGCCAGACTTAATTACATATTCAGTGGAAGGGTGATTAAGGATTCAAAAGAATGCAACCTTTTTCTCTTATCTATCTATTACCTGGAAGCCCCCCACTCCACCCTGCTTCGAGTTTTGATTTGTCTTGCCTTACCAGACAAACCAATGTACATCTCACACATATTGATTGATGTCTCATGTATCTTTGAAATGTATAAAAGCAAGCTGTACCCTGACCACCTTGGGTACATATCATCAGGCCCTCCTGAGGCTGTGTTATGAGTCTGTCCTTAACTTTGGCAAAGTAAACTTTCTAAATTAATTAAGATCTGTCCCAGATACTTTTGGGTTCACAAAATGCACAAAGAAAAGAGTATCAACCTGTAGTAATAATTATTCACTGTAAGGAATTACCATTAGCCATTTTAAAAAGTATACCTCTTATCTAGCTATTATATATCAAGGTTAAATAGGCAAAGTTATTTCTGGTTTCCCCAATAGTCAAAAGATTAGGTACAAGAGAAAGGAGGGGAAGATAGGAATAAATGGGAAACAGAATTCTATTGACTGAGAAGTTTATACAGAGGGAGAGCATGGGCTTAAAACAATATCTACATACATATAACCCAATTATCAGCCTCAATTAAGTCAATTTTTAGCTACAGAACTCTCAAAAGAAAATCCTTTCAAATCTTTTATCACCAGATTTTAGCTGGGACAAACAGTTGATATTTCTGGCTTTTGAATTTCTTATCGAAAGCAATCTCTCACATGAAATAAGTAAGCCCTAACTGAGGTTATGACTTAACTGGGGGTGCATGAGGTTTTACAAGATTTAGAATCTCCCCAGAGATAGCTCAGAGAGAGGAAAATTCAAGAGATGAAGTCAGAAGCTGTTCATATAGAGGAAAAGAATAAATAAATGCCAAAGGTTACAGAAATATCAAACCAGAAAGGACTCATTTCCTGATCTGAGGATTGAACCCAGGCCACTGCAGTAAAAGGGCAATCTTAGTTACTGAGATATATCTTGGGGCAGTTGCTACTGCTTTTCCCAGAAGCAACCTGGAGCAGACAGTTTTGAGCTTGTGAAGGATTTTGATTGCTCACGATAATTCTTAAGGCTAACTGTTACATTATCATGTGTTCTTTTAGACTTGCTGCTTGACATGAACCCCCGAATCCCACCCTCTGGATGGCAAAGACAAAGAGAGTACATCCACTTGGTCACAAAGTCAAGTTCCCAAGGACGCAAAACAAGATGAAAGGGAAACCTCATCCAGTTTTTGTTTCAGGGACTCACAGCAAAGTTTGTAACTGACCAGTATTCAGGGCTGGCTCAAACAGCAGGCTTATAGGCATCCTAGGCCCATGTTCCATCCTATGATACTCCTCCCCATGACAGAATGATGCAGAAAGACAAAAATACTAGTCACACAAATCCATTTTCCAATTAATCAAAACTTTGTAGAGGAGACAGTGACTTTTATAATTCACTCAACTGATTTGCTCAGAAAGACAGAGAGAGGTCAGAATCTGGTTGGTAAGAAATTCTTTTTTTTTACATGTGCACATTGTGCAGGTTAGTTACATATGTATACATGTGCCATGCTGGTGCGCTGCACCCACTAATGTGTCATCTAGCATTAGGTATATCTCCCAATGCTATCCCTCCCCCCTCCCCCGACCCCACCACAGTCCCCAGAGTGTGATATTCCCCTTCCTGTGTCCATGTGATCTCATTGTTCAATTCCCACCTATGAGTGAGAATATGCGGTGTTTGGTTTTTTGTTCTTGCGATAGTTTACTGAGAATGATGGTTTCCAATTTCATCCATGTCCCTACAAAGGATATGAACTCATCATTTTTTATGGCTGCATAGTATTCCATGGTGTATATGTGCCACATTTTCTTAATCCAGTCTATCATTGTTGGACATTTGGGTTGGTTCCAAGTCTTTGCTATTGTGAATAGTGCCGCAATAAACATACGTGTGCATGTGTCTTTATAGCAGCATGATTTATACTCATTTGGGTATATACCCAGTAATGGGATGGCTGGGTCAAATGGTATTTCTAGTTCTAGATCCCTGAGGAATCGCCACACTGACTTCCACAATGGTTGAACTAGTTTACAGTCCCACCAACAGTTCTTATCCTTTGTCAGCATGCTAGTTTTTCACATTCCATTTCTCTGCAGCTTCCAGAAGACCACAGTGGCTTCTGATAACCCTGCTCGCTGTGCCATAGCTGTGGAGGCCAATCCATGTTACAAAAGAAACTCATCCTTTTCCATTTCACTGAACCACAGGAAAAAAATCTCTCAATTTTGCAAGATGCCACTGAACAGGCTGCATGGGGGAACCTAATTCATGTTTCTGATTTCAGCCAGAGCAAAATACATGACAAAACACAGACACAAGTTACTTTACTTAGAGACCATGTATCAACCTGGCAAGGCTCAAACTTGCTCCCATTGGCTCCTGTCATCCTTTGATCCACTCAATGTGGGATAAAAACACCACTGACCAGGAGTTTTAACAGGTGGTATCTGGCCAAGATGGAAGGGTGAACAGCCACTCTGAATTAGGCCTGTTGAACTCCTGCTAGCAGTTCCTTCAGGGCTCACCAAATGTGACTGATCAGATAAACTAGAAAAGCCTGCTGGACTTCCATCAGCAATTTCTTCAGAGATTTCCTCTACATATATAAACACACATGATGAAATAAAGATAAATAGAAAGCTTTCCAAACCAGGAAAACATTCCTTCAAACAGGTTCGCAATTCTACATCCAGCTGGACAGCGACCTCCCCAAACTGAGACTCTTCCTACACTGTAGGGAGAGTCCAACAGTCCCTATGATAGGGTTACAGTGCCTCTAGAGAGGCCAGCAGATTAGGAGAAGGAAGAGGGTGTTTATAGTGTCTGGAATACTCACCAAACGAGGTTATAAGACATCTTTCAGGAACTATTTCTTCATTGCAATCAGATGCATGCACTATGGGTTAACAGTACCCTGCTGGTAGAGACAGCACTGGGGCAGCCCTTAGTCCAAGAGAACTGGCCTCTGGATGCATTGCCAGTGAGGGTCTGCCAAATGCAGGCAGGTACCCACAGGGATATTCTTGACAAGCCCCCAGATTTGGAGCCTCCTAACGGGTTCATCTTGCCCACTTCTCAAATAGAGCTGATTTATTGAGACGGGGAAATGCAATAAAGAAAGAGTTTAATACAGGTAGAGCCAGCTAACCAGGAGACTGGAGTTTTATTATTACTCAAGTCAGCCTCCCACCTTTTAAAAAAATAACAGCTTTATTGAGATATAATTCACATACCATAAAATTTAGCCATTGTATGGGTGTACAGTTAGTAGTTTTTAGTATACGCAGAGAGTTGTGCAACTCTCATCACTATCAATTTCAGAAAATTCTTATTACCCCAAAAAGAAACTCTGTACCCATTAGCAGTCACTTCTCCAAGGCCATGGAAACCACTAATCTACTTTCTGTTTCTATGAATTTGCCTGTTCTGGTCATTTCATACAAATGGATTTATACAATATGTGTCCTTTTGTGTCGGGCTTCTTTCACTTTAACTTTTTGGGGAATTGTCAAACTTCTTTCCCAAGTGGCTGCACCATTTTACATTTCCAGCAGCAAAGTATGAAAGTTCGAATTTCTTCACATCATCACTAACACTTACTATTGTCTGACTTTTTTATTATAGCCATCCTGGTGGTGTAGTGTGGTATCACATTATGATTTTGATTTCTATTTCCTTGATGGCTAATTTGTTGAGTATCTTCTCATGGGCATATTGGCCATTTTTATATGTTCCTTGAAGAAATGTCTGTTCAGACTGTTTTTTGACTGTTTTAAAATCGGATTGCTTGTCTTTCTATACAAGTCCTTTGTGAGCTAAGTGTTTTGCATATATTTTATTATATTCTATGTGTTGTATTTTCACTTTTTTGAGGATGTAATTTTCTGTACAAAATTTTTAATTTTGATGAAGTCCAAATTATCTATTCATTGTTGATTGTGTTTTTGTTGACATACTTAAGCAATCATTGACAAATTGAAGGCCATGAAGATGTTCTTTTATGTTTTAAGAGTGTTGTAATTTTAGCTGTTCTGTTTAGTTCTTTCATCCGTTTAAAGTTCATTTTGTATATAGTGCAAAATAAGGGTACAATTTCATTCTTTTGCATGTGGATATTAACTTGTTATAACACCATTTGTTAAATAAACTCTTTTCCTCTATTGAAACTCTTTTTCTCTGTTGGCCCCCTTGTCAAAAATTAATTAATCATAAATGTGTGTGTTTATTTCTGGACTCCCAGTTCTGTTCCATTGGTATATATGTATACCTTCATGCCAGTACCATATGGTAATAATTACTCTAGCTTTATACTGTTTTGAAATTCAGATGTGTGAGTGCTTTAACTTTGTTGTTCTTTTTCATATTTTTTTTGGTTGTGCTGGGTCTCTTGCATTTTCATTTGAATTTTAGGGCAAAATTGTCAATTTCTGTACAAAGGCCATCTGGGATTTTTGGTAAGAATTGCATTGAATCTGTAGGTCAAATTGGGGAGGATAGCCATCTTAACAATATCAAATCTGATTCATGAACACAGGGTATCTTTAAATTTATTTAAGTCTTTAAAAATTTCCTTCAGTGATGTTTTATAGTTGTCAGAGTATGTTTTACATTGCTTTTGTTAAATTCATTTCTAAGTATTCTGTTTTTATGCTATCTTATATAGCATTGTTTTCTTAATTTCATTTTGGATAGCTATTGATAGTGTACAGAGCAATTGATTTTCATATACTGATTTTGTATTTTGCAACCTTGCTGAATTAATTTTATTATTTCTAATAATTATGGGATGATTCTTTAAGATTATATACATTATCATGTTATTTGTGATTAAAGATATTTTGCCCTTTTTCTTTCCATTCTGATGCCTTTTATTTTTTTTTCTTACCTATTTGATCTGGCAAGAACTTCCAGTACAATGATGAATAGAAGTCACTAGAGTTAACATCATTGTCTTATTTTTAATTTTAGGGGTAAAACTTTAAGTCTCTCACAATTGAGTATAATGTCAAGTGTGGGTTTTTGTAGATTCCCCTTATCAGGTTGAGGATTTCTTTTTCTATTTCTATTTTATTGAGTGGTTTTATAATGAAAGCATATTGGATTTTGTCCATTGCTTTTTCTGCATATATTGGGATTACCGTGTGGTTTCTGTCTTTTATTCTATTTATGCGGTATATTATGTTGATTGATTTTTGCATGTTAAACCAAACTTACATTTTTGGGATAAATAATAATTGGTCATTTTACATAATCCTTCCTGGATTCAGGTTGCTGGTATTTTGCTGAGACATTTACAAACATATTCAGAAGATACATTGGCCTGTAGTATTCCTTTCTTGAGATACCTTTGTCTAGTTTTGGTATCAGGTTAATACTGGAGTCATAGAATGAGTTGGGAAGTGTTCCTTCCTTTTTTAGTTTTGAAAGTGTGTGAAAAATTAGTATTAATTCTTCTTTGAACATTAGGTAGAATTCATCAGTAAAACCAATCTTCTCCTGGGCTATTTTTTATGGGAAATTTTAAAAATTACTAATTTTTATAAGTATATTCAGATTTTCTATGGCTTCTTGAGTCAGTTTCAGTAGTTTGTGTCTAAGAATTTGTCAATTTCATCTATATTATCCAGTTTGTTACATATAGTTGTCCACAGTATTCTCTTATAACTATCTTTATTTCTTTTTTTTATTATTATACTTTAAGTTTTAGGGTACATGTGCACAACGTGCAGGTTTGTAACATATGTATACATGTGCCATGTTGGTGTGCTGCACCCATTAACTCATCATTTAGCATTAGGTACATCTCCTAATGCTATCCCTCCCCCCTCCCCCCACCCCACAACAGTCCCCGGTGTGTGATGTTCCCCTTCCTGTGTCCATGTGTTCTCATTGTTCAATTCCCACCTATGAGTGAGAACATGCGGTGTTTGGTTTTTTATCCTTGCGATAGTTTGCTGAGAATGATGGTTTCAAGCTTCATCCATGTCCCTACAAAGGACATGAACTCATCATTTTTTATGGCTGCATAGTATTCCATGGTGTATATGTGCCACATTTTCTTAATCCAGTCTATCATTGTTGGACATTTGGGTTGGTTCCAAGTCTTTGCTATTGTAAATAGTGCCACAAAAAACATATATATGCATGTGTCTTTATAGCAGCATGATTTATAATCCTTTGGGTATATACCCAGTAATGGGATGGCTGGGTCAAATGGTATTTCTAGTTCTAGATCCCTGAGGAATCGCCACACTGACTTCCACAATGGTTGAACTAGTTTACAGTCCCACCAACAGTGTAAAAGTGTTCCTATTTCTCCACATCCTCTCCAGCACCTGTTGTTTCCTGACTTTTTAATGATCGCCATTCTAACTGGTGTGAGATGCTATCTCATTGTGGTTTTGATTTGCATTTCTCTGATGGCCAGTGATGATGAGCATTTTTTCATGTGTTTTTTGGCTGTGTAAATGTCTTCTTCTGAGAAGTGTCTGTTCATATCCTTTGCCCACTTTTTGATTGGGTTGTTTGTTTTTTTTCTTGTAAATTTGCTTCAGTTCATTTTAGATTCTGGATATTAGCCCTTTGTCAGATGAGTAGGTTGCAAAAATTTTCTCCCATTCTGTAGGTTGCGTGTTCACTCTGATGGTAGTTTCTTTTGCTGTTCAGAAGCTCTTTAGTTGAATTAGATCCCATTTGTCAATTTTGGCTTTTGTTGCCCTTGCTTTTGTTGTTTTAGACATGAAGTCCTTGCCCATGCCTATGTCCTGAATGGTATTGCCTAGGTTTTCTTCTAGGGTTTTTATGGTTTTAGGTCTAACATGTAAGTTGTTAATCCATCTTGAATTACTTTTTGTATAAGGTGTAAGGAAGGTGTCCAGTTTCAGCTTTCTACATATGGCTAGCCAGTTTTCCCAGCACCATTTATTCAATAGGGAATCCTTTCCCCATTGCTTGTTTTTGTCAGATTTGTCAAAGATCAGATAGTTGTAGATATATGGCATTATTTCTGAGGGCTCTGTTCTGTTCCATTGATCTATATCTCTGTTTTGGTACCAGTATCATGCTGTTTTGGTTACTGTAGCCTTGTAATATAGTTTGAAGTCAGGTAGCGTGATGCCTCCAGCTTTGTTCTTTTGGCTTAGGGTTGACTTGGCAATGCGGGCTCTTTTTTGGTTCCATATGAACTTTAAAGAGGTTTTTTCCAATTCTGTGAAGAAAGTCATTGGTAGCTTGATGGAGATGGCATTGAATCTATAAATTACCTTGGGCAGTATGGCCATTTTCATGATCTTGATTCTTCCTACCCATGAGCATGGAATGTTCTTCCATTTGTTTGTATTCTCTTTTATTTCCGTGAGCAGTGGTTTGTAGTTCTCCTTGAAGAGGTCCTTCACACCCCTTGTAAGTTGGATTCCTAGGTATTTTATTCTCTTTGAAGCAATTGTGAGTGGGAGTTCACTCATGATTTGGCTCTCTGTTTATCTGTTATTGGTGTATAAGAATGCTTGTGATTTTTGTACGTTGATTTTGTATCCTGAGACTTTGCTGAAGTTGCTTATCAGCTTAAGGAGATTTTGGGCTGAGATGATGGGGTTTTCTAGATATACAAGCATGTCATCTGCAAACAGGGACAATTTGACTTCCTCTTTTCCTAATTGAATGCCCTTTATTTCCTTCTCCTGCCTGATTGCCCTGGCCAGAACTTCCAACAATATGTTGAATAGGAGTGGTGAGAGAGGGCATCCCTGTCTAGTGCCAGTTTTCACAGGGAATACTTCCAGTTTTTTCCATTCAGTATGATATTGGCTGTGGGTTTGTCATAGATAGCTCTTATTATTTTGAGATACTTCCCATCAATTCCTAATTTATTGAGGGTTTTTAGCATGAAGGGGTGTTGAATTTTGTCAAAGGCCTTTTCTGCATCTATTGAGATAATCATGTGGTTTTTGTCTTTGGTTCTGTTTATATGCTGGATTACATTTATTGATTTTCGTATGTTGAACCAGCCTTGCATCCCAGGGATGAAGCCCACTTGATCATGGTGGATAAGCTTTTTGATGTGTTGCTGGATTCGATTTGCCAGTATTTTATTGAGGATTCTTGCATCAGTGTTCATCAAGGATATTGGTCTAAAATTATCTTTTTTTGTTGTGTCTCTGCCAGGCTTTGGTATCAGGATGATGCTGGCCTCATAAAATGAGTTAGGGAGGATTCCCTCTTTTTCTATCGATTGGAATAGTTTCAGAAGGAATGGTACCAGCTCCTCTTTGTACCTCTGGTAGAATTCGGCTGTGAATACATCTGGTCCTGGACTTTTTTTGGTTGGTAAGCTATTAATTATTGCCTCAATTTCAGAGCCTGTTATTAGTCTATTCAGAGATTCAACTTCTTCCTTGTTTAGTCTTGGGAGGGTGTATGTATCGAGGCATTTATCCATTTCTTCTAGATTTTCTAGTTTATTTGCATAGAGGTGTTTATAGTATTCTCTGATGGTAGTTTGTATTTCTGTGGGATTGTTGGTGATATCCCCCTTGTCATTTTTTATTGCATCTATTTGATTCTTCTCTATTTTCTTCTTTATTAGTCTTGCTAGCAGTCTTTCAATTTTGTTGATCTTTTCAAAAAACCAGCTCCTGGCTTCATTGATTTTTTGCAGGGTGTTTTGCATCTCTATTTCCTTCAGTTCTGCTCTGATCTTAGTTATTTCTTGCCTTCTGCTAGCTTTTGAATGTGTTTGCTCTTGCTTCTCTAGTTCTTTTAATTGTGATGTTAGGGTGTCAATTTTAGATCTTTCCTGCTTTCTCTTTTGGGCATTTAGTGCTATAGATTTCCCTCTACACACTGCTTTGAATGTGTCCCAGAGATTCTGTTATGTTGTGTCTTTGTTCTCGTTGGTTTCAAAGAACATCTTTATTTCTGCCTTCATTTCGTTATGTACCCAGTAGTCATTCAGGAGCAGGTTGTTCAGTTTCCATGTAGTTGAGTGGTTTTGAGTGAGTTTCTTAATCTTGAGTTCTAGTTTGATTGCACTGTGGTCTGCGAGATAGTTGGTTATAATTTCTGTTCTTTTACATTTGCTGAGGAGTGCTTTACTTCCAACTATGTGGTCAATTTTGGAATAGGTGTGCTGTGACGCTGAAAAGAATGTATATTCTCTTGATTTGTGGTAGAGAGTTCTGTAGATGTCTATTAGGTCCGCTTGGTGCAGAGCTGAGTTCAATTCCTGGATATCCTTGTTAACTTTCTGTCTCATCGATCTGTCTAATGTTGACAGTGGGGTGTTAAAGTCTCCCATTATTATTGTGTGGGAGTCTAAGTCTCTTTGTAGGTCATTAAGGACTTGCTTTATGAATCTGGGTGCTCCTGTATTGAGTGCATATATATTTAGGATAGTTAGTTCTTCTTGTTGAATTGATCCCTTTACCATTATGTAATGGCCTTCTTTGTCTCTTTTGATCGTTGTTGGTTTAAAGTCTGTTTTATCAGAGACTAGGATTGCAACCCCTGCCTTTTTTTGTTTTCCATTTGCTTGGTAGATCTTCCTCCATCCCTTTCTTTTGAGCCTATGTGTGTCTCTGCACATGAAATGGGTTTCCTGAATACAGCACTCTGGTAGTTCTTGACTCTTTATCCAATTTGCCAGTCTGTGCCTTTTAATTGGAGCATTTAGCCCATTTACATTTAAGGTTAATATTGTTATGTGTGAATTTGATCCTGTCATTATGATGTTAGCTGGTTATTTTGCTCATTAGTTGATGCAGTTTTTTCCTAGCCTTGAAGGTCTTTACAATTTAGCGTGTTTTTGCAGTGGCTGGTACCGGTTGTTCCTTTCCATGTTTAGTGCTTCCTTTGGGAGCTCTTTTAGGGTAGGCCTGGTGGTGACAAAATCTCTCAGCATTTGCTTGTCTGTAAAGGATTTTATTTCTCCTTCACTTATGAAGCTTAGTTTGGCTGGATATGAAATTCTGGGTTGAAAATTCTTTTCTTTAAGAATGTTGGATATTGGCCCCCACTCTCTTCTGGCTTGTAGAGTTTCTGCCGAGAGATCAGCTGTTAATCTGATGGGCTTCCCTTTGTGGGTAACCCGACCTTTCTCTCTGGCTGCTTATTTCTATAGAGTTAGCAATACCATTTCCTCTTTCTTCTTGATTTTAATAAGTTTCCCCTTTTTCTTCTTGGTCACTATGGCTAAAGACCTGTCAATTGTGTTGATCTGTTCAAAGAAACACCTTTTAGTTTCCTTGATTTTCTGTATTATTCTTGTATTCTCTCTGTGATTTACGTCTGATTTAATCTTTATTATTTGTTTCCTTCTGTTGGCTTTGGATTTAGTTCACTCTTCATTTTCTGGTGTCTTAAGCGGTAGGTTAGGTTATTGATTTGAGTTTTTTTTTTTGATATAAGTGTCTACACCTATAAATTTCCCTGCAATTATTGCTTTAGCTGTACACATAAGTTTTGAATTTAGTTTTATCTTAACATATTTTTAAATTTCTCTGGTGAATTCTTTCTTGATTTATTGTTCACTTAAGAGTGTGTTTAATTTCCCCATATTTGCAAATGTATCTAAATTTTAATCTATTTTGGCCCGAGAACATAATTTCAGGATTTAAGTTCATTTATGTGTATTGAGACTTGTTTTATGGACTAATATGCTGTCTCTTGCAGAGATTATTCAATGTGCACTTAAGAAGGATGTGTATTTTCCTGTTGTTGGATTCAGTATTCCATAGCTAACTGTAAGGTCTGGCTGGGTTAAAGTGTTTTCCTTTTTTCTTTGTTATTATTATGCCTAGTTATTTCATCCAATATTAATGTAGTGTATTGAAGTCTCCAACTACTATTTTCAAATTGTCTGTTTCTCTCTTCAATTCTGTCAGTTGTTACTTCATGTGTTTTTGAAGCTCTATTGTTAGGTGCATATATGTTTGTAATTATATCTTCCTAGGAAATTGACACTTTAATCATTTTTAAACATCTTTCTTTGTCTCTAGTAACAATTTTTGTCTTAATGTCTATTTTGTCTGATATTAGTATAGTCATACAAGTTTTATTTGGATTACTATTTTTCTGGTATTTCACTTTTCATATTTTGCTTGCAACTTCTTTGTCTTTGAATCTAAAGTGTGTCTTTTATAGACAACATATAGTAATCCATTCTGTCATATCTAAATTTTGATTGGAATATTTAATCCATTTACATTTGTTTTTTCTATATTCTTTTTTCTCTTTTGTCTTTTCTATTTTTCTGTTTCTCCATTGCTGCTTTCTTTTGTGTTAATAGATATTTTCTGCTGTGCTGCCATTTTTTTGTTAACTTTTTTACATATTCTTTGAGTTATTTTCTTAGTAGTTGAGATGGGGATTACAATTAATGTATTAATTTATAATAACCTAGTTTAGATTAATAACAAATTGATTTTTAGTAGTATATAACATTTTTGGTTCTATACAGCTTTGTTTCCCATACTTTGTTATTATTTTCATGAACTATATTTTTATACATTTTGTGCTTATCAACACAGATACTATTATTGTTTTATGCAGTTAATTTTGAAATTAGGTGTGAGAAAAGAATGATATAAATAAATATACACATATACAGTAATTTTATTTACATATTTGTTTACCTTTACTGGTACGCCTTATTTCTTCATGTGTATTTGAGTCACTGTTTAGTGTCCTTATATTTCAGTCTTAAAGACTCTGCTTAAGAGTCTGTCTTTCTGGAAGGACAGATTTTCTAGTGATGAATTCCCTCAGTTTTTGTTTATCTGGAATTTTTAAAGTTATCCTTCATTTTTGAAAGCTAGTTTTGCTGGATTTATAATTCCTGGCTAATAGTCTGTCTTATTCTTACAATACATTGAATATGGATCTCATTGCCTTCTTGCCTGTATGGTTTTTACTGATAAATTATGTGTTGATCTTATTGAGAATCTCTTATGTGTGATGAGCTGTTTCTCTCATGCTGCTGTCAAGGTTTTCTTTGTCTTTAGCTTTCAACAGTTTGACTGTAATGTATCTAGGTGTGGCTCTTCTGAGTTTATCTTACTTGGATTTTATTGAACTTCTTAGATGTGTACATTAATGATTTTCATCAAATTTGTGGAGTGTTTGGTTATTATTTCTTCCAATATTATTTCAGTCCCTTTCTCTCTCTTCTCCCTTTGAACCCATTTACCTATTTTGGTATACTTTATGGTGTCCTGTAGTCCTCCATTCATTTTTCCTTCATTAATTTTTATTACTGTTTTTCAGATTATATAATATCACTTAGCCTGCATTCAAGTTAACTGATTCTTTCTTCTGCCAGCTAAAATCTAATGTTGATCTGCTCTAGTGAATTTTTCACTTTTTATGTGTCATTTCAACCCAAAAGTCCTATTTTTAAAAATAATTTCTGTATCTTTATTGTTGTTCCCTATTTAATGAAACATTGTGATCATGCCTATCTTTAATTTTTTAGACATGGTTTCTTTTTATTCTTTGAGTTTATTTAGTATAATTCATTTAAAGTTTTTATTAATAAGTCCAATATTTCAGCTTCCTCAGGAACAGTTTTTATTAACTGCTTCTTTACTCTGTGTATAGCCATACTCTCTTGGTTCTTTGCATGACTCATTTTTTGTCATTGTTGTTGAAATCTGGCTATTTTCATAACATAATGTGGTAACTGTGGAAATCAGATTCTTCCTTTTCCTCAGATTTTTCTGTTGTTACCCTTTATTATTATCATAGTTCTTCTGTTTAGTGACTTCATTGAACTAATTCTGTAAAATCTATATTCTTTGTTATGTATGCCCTCTGAAATCTCTAGTTTAATGATTAGCTAATGATTTGACAGGATTTCCTTATATTTCTTCCATTGAAAAGTCTCCTATCCTTTTCTGAGGGTCTCTGTATGTATCCTGGGCATGCCTTCAGTACTTCTAAAAGTGGTAGAGATTCTAGCCTTTTCTGAAGGGCTCTGTATTGTGTGTTGGGCATGCCTTCAGTACTTCTGAAAATGGTAGGCAACTCTGCCTTATCCTTAACTTCCTGCTTGGTTAGAGCTTCTAGGTCAGCCACAGGTGAGAGATGAGTGCCTTCTCCTATGTTACTTGACATATACACAGCCCTGCCCACACATGTTGCCTTCTAGATTCTCAGGATTTATATCAGAATTTTTCAAAACTTCTGTGGACATACTCTCTGCCTTTCATTATAAGTTTTTTTTTGGTCAATTTCTTCTTTGTTTCAGCTGCTATCACTGACTCAGGCAGCTGTAACATTAAATAATTGCCACTGAACTGTTTCAGCAATTTCCTTGGCAAAAAAGGGTGTTCACTTTGAGCCAGCTCTGAGTCAGGTCAAATAGGTAAGCCCTGTGAGTGGAGGTTTCCGAGGGACTGTTAGATAAGTCAAATAGTGACAATTCTGTGTAGATATGGCTTTTTAGAACCTCAAAATTCATTCTCTTTTCTCCATTGGCTGTTAGGTTGATGGTTTTCACGGCTACCATGATTGCAAGGTTGTTGGTTTTGAGGGCCACTGTGGATTTGTTGAGAGGGAAATGGAAATAGGACAAATGTATATGGTACCAAGCTTGCTGTTCTTACTGAGATTCAGCTGTCAATGCATGCACATTGGATAGTTTCAAGCTTTCTTTTAATTTCTAGAATTCTGAAAATTTTAATTTTGATACTTTTTGACAGTGTTCTTGGTGCTTTTATGAAGGAGCATATTTTTGTAATACCTTGGCTCACCATTCCGTAAGTCAGTTTCCCTTGGAATACTCTTGAATTTTCTAACCTCACCTTCCCAGATCCACCCCACTATAAGAGGAAACTTATGGAGTAGAAATAATATATTATTGTTGGCTTCATACATAGGTATCTGCTCATCTCATATAATGTAAGGGTTTCTGAAGACTCCTTTTTGTCTGAAATAGCACCTCTATTTGATCAGACATCTTAAATGCTACCATTATAAATTGATTCATTTGAATTAAGGTATTATATAAGGTATGATATCTTTAGGGGTATTTTAGAATTATTTTAACTGGACTAATCCTTTTAGAGTCTCTACAAATATACAAAAAAATTAGCCAAACATGGTGCTGTGCACCTGTAGTCCCAGCTACTCAGGAGGCTAAGGTGGGAAGATCACTTAGGCCTGGGAGGTGGAGGTTGCAGTGAGTCGAGATTGCACCACTGCACTCCAGCCTGGGTAATAGAGTGAGACTCTGTTTCAAAAAAAAAGGTGAAGAGGGAGACAGAAATAGAAAACTGATTTTAGAAATGCTTGATGTGGTAGAATAAAAATTACCTTATCATTATGTACATTATGTATATAAATGGCTCATATGTCCAGGCAGATTTTGGCTCTGTAACAAGTATGCATATTATTAATTATGTGGCAACTTCATTTTAATTTTGACATTAAACTATTTAGGTATTCTCAATCCGGTTTGTTTCTCTTAAGGAATGAAAAAACGTTTTATCGTTCTAAATTCAAATTGATCAAAACTTAGTGAAGTTACAACAACTTATCAATTCACACCTGAATTTCTCAGCCAAGCATTCAAGATCCCTCAAGGGGTCACTTTGTGCAGTTTTGTCTTCTTCCTTCTCCCCGAAACATCTGTTTCAAATAAATTCAGTGCTATATCAACCTTCCGATATATTGCAACTCCCACAAAAAACATCATAAAAATACAAATGTCTTTGGGGCTGAGAAGCAACAGACTTCTGAGTGACAGGAGGCTGTGATAGTGTCAGGGTAGCTGATTCCAAAAAAGCTGGGCATTGGGCAGAAAGACATACTTGAATTTTTTCCCAGTTTTGGCTCTCTATGAAAAATGTCAGAAAGCAAAGGAAATCCAAAGTGTTTTTACTTTGTATTAAATACTTTATCCATGCTAATGAATATCCTCATTTTCATTATTTCATTTGGGGAAAAAACTAAAAATATTACTAAACCAGTTGGTCACATTCCCCTAAATTACATGTGCAAATTGGAGTTCTAAACATTTAGAACAGAAGTATTTGTGTCCTAGAAACCAAGGAAAATAGCAGTTTGTTGCTAAGCTGAAAAAAAACTGCTCCATTTTGGCCACTTGGCATATAACACAACGCTTTGAATTATTTCCCTTCTCCTTTTTATGATCAGACATTTAAAATAAATCTTAGTGAGCTATTATATATTTGGTCTGTGATTCCCTTATTCAGGCAACAATGGCTTCTGTGAATTTTCTGACAGCCATCAGACAGAAATGAAAATAGGGATTCTCATAGTTTGGGTGGAATGAAACACTATGGGAAGGCTTTATAAACTCTCCAGTAACAAAGGACCTGAGTGGTAGTAACAATCCTTTATATTTGCATCACACTTTTCAGGTTTCCAGAAACTGCAATGAACATTATCTCACTTAATCTTCCCAACAACCTTATGACAGGGAAGGTCTATTAGCTCCAGATTACTTAGGAGGCAACAAGGCATAAAGTTGGTTAAGGATCACAATTGTTCAAAATGCTCTACTTTGTGGTAGAGCTGAGGATCAAACCCAGTTCTCTAGCATTCTAGTCTAGCACTTTTAACCTAATTTCTTCATTGCAACAATATAAAATGAGCGGTTTTAAGATATTGCAGTCTTTATTTATCTTTTTGTTTTTCCTTAGATTCCTTTTTTTTTCTTAAAATATTTAGTAACATTTACCTGCTTGAGAACTTTTAAAAATTGCTTAAACAGGTTCCATTTCTTCACAACTCATTCCCTTCAAAGATTACTCTAATTACTACTACCCAAAGCATATTTCATAAAGTTTACTCATGTTTTTTAAAAATTTTAATTTCATTTTATGTTTAACTTTAATTTTTAAATTTAATTTTTAAATTTTTAATTAAAAGCACATCACATAAAATCTACCATCTTAACTATTTCTTTTTTATCATTAATTGTTCTATTTCAATAAATGGAAGATTTTTTTTTTGCAGTAAAGGAAGCATTTAATTGATGCAAGACAAGCCACACCATGTGGGAGATGGAGTTATTACTGAAATTAATCTCCCCAAATTCTTGGAGGTTAGGGGTTTTCAAGGACAGTTTGGTACATAAGGAACTAAGGAATGGGGACTGTAGCTTGTTTGGGAATGAAATCATAGGGGTATGGAAAACGGTCCTTGTGCACTGACTCAGCCTCCGGGTGAGGCTACAGGATCAAGTGAATCATGAGTCAGGAGTCTGGGTGGGGTCAGTCTGAATGACATCTCAAAAAATAATCTTAGGCTCTATAATAGTGACGGTATCTGTGAAACTCTAATATCTGAGACAGGTCTCAGTTAATTTGGAAAGTTTATTTTGCCAAAGTTGAAGACATGCCCCCGTGAAACAGCCTTAGGAGGTCCTGACAACATGTGCCCAAGGTGATCAGGGTGCAGCTTGGTTTTATACATTTTAGGGAGACATGAGACATCAATCAATGTAAGTAAGATGTACATCGGTTCTGTCCAGAAAAGTGGTGGGACAACTTGAATCAGGGAGGGGGCTTCCAGGTCACAGGCAGGTGAGAGAAAAATGGTTGCACTCTTTTAAGTATCTGATTAGCCTTTCCAAATGAGGCGATCAGATATGCATCTATCTCAGTGAGCAGAGAGATAACTGAATAGAATGGGAGGCAAGTTTACCCTAAGCAGTTCCAAGCATGACTTTTCCCTTTAGCTGGTTGATTTGGGGCCCCTAAGATTTATTTTCCTTTCACTTATCTATAGGAGTAATTGAGGAAGTCACAAATATTGTGACCTCTGGCCACATGACTCCTGAGCAGTAAGGGGATTGTAGAAACTATGCCCACATCATTGCATAATTCAAGCCCCTCTTATAATCCTAACCTTGTGGTCTTTCATTAATTTCATGAAGGTGGTTTAGTTTTGGGAAGGGTATTATCATCCTTGTTTCAAGGTTAAACAATAAATTACATTTTGCCCCAAATCAGCTTGGTCCTACACCCGGGAATGACCAAAGATAGGTTAGAGATGGAGTCAAGTATGTTAAATTTCTTACTGTCTGAATTTTGCAAGGTAGTTTCAACCATCCCCCACCTTGGGTTTTAGCACACCTCAGTTCTGAGGTGTGAGCTACTAAGATGGGAAAAAGGACAATGACTACTCTAACTTCTTCCTGCTGATATGGGGCATAGTTAGGGTAGGGGTTGCCCCTAGGGAAGGAGAAGTGAAACCATCTGACATTTTTCTGCATGTGTTCGCAGGTGCCTGGCTGAGGTCTCAGGGTCTGCATAATAAAAGTACTAGTACTTTTATCCACAGCTTTAGTATAGCACTTAAGTGAACAGCAGATTATAAGAGAAATAATAAGGCCTAAGATAAGGAATAAAAGTCTTTGCTTCAGTAGTTCCTGTAGAAATGACCAGAAGTCTTGAGGGATCCAGGTGAATGACCCTGATAACCAATTAAATATTGGATCATCAGCAGAGACTCAAAAACAGTGAACAAAGTTGGAATCTAACAACAGGTATACTGTAGTTTTTCTGAAACAATTTTTCTCTCTTCAGTTCTCCATTTCTACCAAACACAAATCATAATTGGACCTTTTTTGGAAAATAAGTTTTACTCTTATTATAAATGGCCCAATTATTTGCATAAAGTACAGCAAAATAATTATTTGCCATGTAGCCTTTTTTTTTTAAATGGCTTTGCTGGAATTTTTTTTCTATAAGGAATATCAGATTAGGCCTTGTACAAGCCTTTTGAGAACAGCCAGGGATTTATCTGTGCCTGCATATGCCTGTGTTAATTGAGTGAATTCCTCTTTTCTCAAGGTCCCAAGATAACTTGGGGTTCCTGGGCCTGTCAGAAAGTAACTTTCTTTGCTTACCACAAGTTAAGAACCCTGTGAAGGACAAGATGTGAGGCAAGTTTTTCCAAAGGGCCGTTATCCTCTCTATAGGTCAACCTCAATTTTTCAAAGCAATCTGAAACTATGTCATTTTATTCAAAGCCTTGGTAAAGTAACCAGTGACTCTATGTGTGCTGCCAGAAAATAAAACAGATTCTTATTGACCTTATGTAGATAACTACATTGCTACAAGCTAAGAATACTCACAAATAGTTTCCACATTTTGGAGAAATCAGGTAGAGAGAAATAAACATGATCCAAAGTTTGCTCACAGGTGTAATACATTACTCAATTGTTAAAAGCTGTAAATAGTCCAAAAGAGAAGTTGTTTGACTCTAAAAAAGATACAAAAAGTATCAGTAATGTTTCAAACAAAAAGTTATAAAAAGGTTATTTTAGTCTTTCATTAGTTCAGTCCATGCAATTAACTCCTCTTCTGCTTGATATTCATGAATATATCAGCTTTCTGTGAGTGTCCTGGAAAATTTCCCCTTTATTCCAATAACATAATCTTCAAAGTTATTAGAAACCTTTATTCAAGAGCACTTTTCATAGTCCTATAGCTGGATTATAAAGCCACTTTTTGAAAAAATCAAAGTAAACCAACAATTGTGGATGTCAGGAGTCTTAGGATAGCTACGGTTCAAGTCACACTTGTCAAGGACTTTTGGTTAATTTTGTGGCATACAACAATTTAACATAACAATTATAATTACTGACATATACTAAGTCATATCATAATTATAGCATCTCACACAACTCTGGAACACACACAAATAGCACATTTATACAAATAGAATTTAAAGAAAACCAAACATCATCTTATACTTGATAATGCCTCCTGTTTGATTTCAACATACCACATAAGCAAAATGTCTCTTTTGAACTTCAGGTAGGCTAATATCTAAACAAGTTAATGAGGTCGAAGTACTGAATGTAGAACTTAAAATTTTGATTTTGAAAAGTTTGTTAACTATCAAAAGTTTACAACATTTGATATCACAAAATATGATCACAGGGTTTTCACTTAGCTGAAACATTAACTCAAAAATTTCAAAAAGACAGAAATCTTTACAAGCTGATAGAAGACTCAGTTTTCTAAGCAACAAGACTCAATAAAAACAACATGAGGCCACCTGAATCTGTCTCTTCTCTCTGCCTTTTTCCTTTTTTGCAGTTTACTTAAGAGCAAAGAAAAATATTTTATTGTCTCTCAATATTACACAAAATTTATGTTCAAAAGAGAAAGCCAAATTTTACCTCTATGTTAGTATACTATTTATGTTAAACCCAGTTTTTAATAAAGCTTTATAAACAAATCTATCCAATTTATCAGTTTGACCATGAGGTAAGATTTTAATAAACCCTCTATATCTTTTTTTAAATAATTTATTAAAGAGCAGATCATTGTTCTAAGGAAACCCTGTTATTCTGACACATGGATCCAGATTCTGGCCATGCATCAGTGTGCTTTTTATTTTAATGTTTAATTTACAGGAAAATTAATCCTTAAAAGTTTGGCAAAGTTTCTTACACCCACAGAACTTCCATTACAAGATCTATATTTTTATAAATGTTTTACAACTTGCTAAAACCTTCAGTGTTGTTCTATCATTCATTTAACTTAGAACAATCCTTAAAAACTTCTAAATTAGACAAAATTGCTTTCCCATTAAATGTAAGATTTTCATACAAAAAGGGGTTTGTAAGCCAATATTTAGATGAAATAATAATAATATAATTTCTCCCTTATGTGCCTATATGCCTGTAGAGAAAACTAGGTCTGAAACATGAATTAAAACTTGGTTTCTAAAGGGTCATTATTTACTGTTTTCTTTAAGTGAATGGAAGAGTTTAACAAAAAAGGAGTTTTAAAGCCAATGTATACATAAAATTATTAGAAGTTTATTTCTTCTATATGCACCTCTAGGCCCATAAAGTGATATAGTTATTTTAATAATTTCAACTTTTAGTTTAGATTGAGGGGTACAACATGTGCAGGTGTGTTACATGGGTATATTGTGTGATGCTGAGGTTTTGGGTACAATTGATCCCATCACCCTGGTACTGAGCATATGCACAGTAGTTTTTCAACCATTGGTACCTAATCCTCACTGTAGTAGCTCCAGTGTCTATCGTAGTCATCTGTATGTCCATGAGTACCCTTTTTTTTTAGCTTCCACTTATAAATAAAAACATGCAGTATTTGGTTGTCTGTTTCTGCATTAACTTGCTTAGAATAATGGCCTCCAGCTGCATCCATGTTGCTGCAAAGGACACTATTTTTTTCCTTTTTATGGCTGTGTAGTATTCCCTGGTGTGGGTAACCCCATTTCCTTCCCTATCCACCACTGATCGACACCTTGGTTGATTCCATGTCTTTGCTGTTGTGAACAGTGCTGTAATGAACATATGAGTGCATGTGTGAAAAATTTATTTTCTTTTGGACATATATCCAGAAATGGGGTTGCTGGCTCAAATGGCAGTTTGGTTTTAAGTTTTTTGAGAAATCTCCAAGCTGTTTTTTTACTGTGGCTGAACTAATTTACATTCCAAACAACAGTGTACATATTCCCTTTTCTCTGCAGCCTTACCAGTATCTGTTGTTTTTTGAATTATTAATATTAGCCATTCTGACTGGTGTGAGATGGTATCTCATTGTGGTTTTGATTTACAGTTCTCTGATGATTAGTGATGTGGAGCATTTTTTCATGTTTGTTAGCTGCAAGCATTTTTTTTTTTTGAGAAGTTTCTGTTCATGTCTTTTGCCCATATTTAATGGGGTTGTTTTTTTGCTTGTTGAATTTTTGAGTTCCTTATAAATTCTGGATATTAGACTTTTGTTGGATGCATAGTTTCTGAATATTTTATCCCATTCTGTAGGTTGTCTGTTTACTCTGTTGACAGCTTATTTTGCTGTGAAGAAACTGTTTAGTTTACTTAGGTCCCACTAGTCAATTTCTGTTTTTGTTGCAAATGTTTTTGAGGACTTAGTCATAAATTATTTCCCAAAGCTTATGTCCAGAATGGTGTTTCCTAGGTTTAATTCTAGGATTTCTGTAGTGTGAAATCTTATATTTTAATCTTTAATCTACCTTGAGTTAATTTTTGTATAAGATGAAATATAGGCGTCCATTTTCATTCTTCTGCATGTGGCTAGCCCAGTATCCCATCACAATTTATTGAATAAGGGGTCCCTTCACCATTGATTATTTTTGTTGACTTTGTTCAAGATCAAATGACTACAGGTGTGAGGTTTTATTTCTGGGTTCTCTATTATGTTTCGTTGGTCTATATGTCTTTTTTTGTACCAGTACCATGCTGTCTTGTTTACTGTAGCCTTATAGTGTAGTTTGAAGTTGGGTAGTGCAATGTCTCCAACTTTGTTCTTTTTGCTTAAAATTGCTTTGTCTATTTAGGCTTTTTTTTGGTTCCATGTGAAATTTAGAATAGCTTTTTGTAGTTATTTGAAAACTGATGTTGGTATCTTGATAGGAATAGATTGAATCTGTAGATTGCTCTGGGCAGTGTGTCCATTTTAACAGTATTGATTCTTCCAATCCATGAGGATGAAATGTTTTTCTTTTTGTTCGTATCATCTATGATTTATTTCGCAGTGTTTTGTAATTATCCTTGTAGAGATCTTTCACCTCCACAGTTAGATGTATTCCTAGGTACTTTTTGTGTGCTGCTATTCCAAATGAGATTGTGTTATTGATTTGAGTCTCAGCTTGAATATTATTGTTGTATAGAAATTCCACTGATTTTTATACATTGATTTTGTATTCTAAAAGTTTATTGAATTCATTTCTTAGTTCCACAAGCCTTTTGGAGAAGTCTTTAGGGTTTTCTAGGTATAGAATTATATCATCAGCAAAGATGTAATTTGACTTCTTCTTTTCCTACTTGGATGTCTTTTATTTCTTTTTCTTGCCTGATTGCTCTGGAAAGGATTTCCTGATACCATGTTAAAGAGGAGTGGTGACAGTGGGCATCTTTGTCTTGTTTTAGTTCTCAAGGAAAATGCTTCTAGTATTTGCCCTTTCAGTTTAATGTTGGTTGTGGGTTTGTCATATATGGCTTTTATTATTTTTACATATGTTCTTTGTTACATAGTCTCTTAAGGATTTTTAGCATGAATGAATTTTAGATTTCATCAAAATTTTTTCCTGTGTATATTGAGACGATTGTATGATTTTTGTTTTTAATTCGGTTTATGTGGTGAATTACATTTGTTGATTGCATAAGTTGAATCAGCCTTGCATTCCAGGAATGAAGCCTTCCTGATCATAATGAATTCACTTTTTGATGTGCTGCTGAATTTTGTTTGCTAGTATTTCATTAAGGATTTTTGCATCTATGATTATCAGGGATATTGGCCTATAGTTTTCTTTTTTCATTGTGTCTTTGCCAAGTTTGGGTATCAGGGTGATGTTGGCTTCACAGAATGAGTTATGCAGGAGTTCCATCTCTTTGATTTTTGTGGAATAGCTTTAGAAAAATTGGTAATAGCTGTTCTTTGTATGTCTAATAGAATTTGGCTGCAAATTCATCTGGTCCAGGGCTCTTTTTGTTAGTATATATTTTTATTACTGATTCAATTTTGGAATTAGATATTGATCTGTTTAGGATTTCAATCTCTTCCCGATTCAAATTTGGGAGATTGCATTTCCAGGAATTTATCTATTTTCTCTAGATTTTCTGTTTTGTGTGCATGAAGGTATTCATAATAGTCTCTGAGGACTTTTTGTATTTCTGTGGGATTAGTTGTAATGTCACCTTTGTCATATTAACCACTTCTAAGTGTACAGTTCAGTAGTGTTCACATTGTTGTGCACCATTCTCAAGAAATTTTCATCTTGTACAACTTGAATTCTATACCCATTAGACAAAAAATCTTAATTGTCTCTGCTCACCAGCCCTGGCAGATACCATTCTTTCTCTTTCTATAAATTTCATTACTCTAGATACCTCATATAAGTGGAAAATATAGTATTTGTCTTTTTTGACGGATTTATTTTACATAGCATGTGTCCTCAAAGTTCATTCATGCTAACATTTGTCAGAATTTCCTTCCTTTTTAAGGCTGAATAATATTCCAGTATATGTATGTGCCACATTTTCTTTATCCATTTATCTGTCAAAGGATATTTGGGTTGCTTCCACATCTTAGCAACTGTGCATAGTGCTGCTATGAACATGGGTGTGAAAATATTTTTCCAAGAGCCCACTTTCAACTCTTTTGTATATATACCCAGAAGCGGAATTTCTGGGTCATGTGGTAATTCTATTTAATTGTGTAAGCAACCATCATACTGTTTTTCATAGCAAGTAAACCATTTTAGGTTCTTCCCAACAGTGCACAAGGGTTCTAATTTTTCCACATCCTCCAAAACTTGTTACTTTCTGTTTTTTTTTTTTAAATAGGCATCCATCTTAATGGGCATGAGATGATATTTCATCTTTTCTTGATTTGCATTTCCCTAATAAGTGATGTTAAGCATTTTCATATGCTTGTTGCAATTATTATATAATCTTTCAAAAATGTATATTCAAATGTTTTGCCTATTAAAAAAATCAAGTGATTTGATTTCTTGTTGTTGAGTTGTAAACGTTTTAAATTTTTCTGGATGTTAACTCTTTATTCAAATATATGGTGCACAAATATTTCATCCCATTCCATAAGTTTTTTACTCTGTTGATTGTTTCTTTTGATATACAGCAACTTTTTGTTTTAATGTAGTCCAGTTTGTCTATTTTTGCTTTTGGTACCTGTACTTTTGGTGTAATATTCAAGAAATCCTTACCAAATCCAATGTCATGAGGCTTTTCCTTAATATTTTCTTCTAGGATTTTTATAATTTTAAATATTAAATCTTTGTCTTTTATCCAAATTTAGTTATTTTTTGTGTATGTTGTAAGGTGAGGGTCCAACTTCATTATTTTGCATTTGGATTCAGTGTTTCCCAGCACTATTTGTTGAAGACACCATCCTTTTTCTATTGAATGGTCTTGACACCCTTGTCAAAAATCATTTCATCATATATGTGAAGGTCTATTTTTTGGACTTTCTATCCTACTACATTGGGCTATATGTATGACTTTATGCCACTACCATGCTATTTTGATTATGGTAGTTTTATAATTTGGAATCAAGAAGTGTGAGACCTCTAACTTCATTTTTCTTTTTCAAGATATTTTCGGTTGTTCAGGGTCCCTTGAGATTCTATATAGATTTTTGGATGAGTTACTAATTTTTAAAAACAGCTTTATTGAGATATAATTCGCATACCATACAAACAACCCCTTTAAAATATATAATTTGATATTTCTGGTATATTACAGGTACGTGCAAACATCACCACAGTCAATTTTAAAGCATTTCATCACCTCAAAAAGAAACCATGTATTCTTTAGATATCACCCCAGTAACAACCCATTTGCCTTCCTCCAACCCTAAACAACCACTAGTGTACTTTTTGTATCTATAAATTCCTCTGTTTTGGACTTTCATATGAATGGAATAATACAATATCTGGCCTTTTGCGACAGGCTTTATTCACATAGCGTAATATTTTCAAGGTTCATTCATGTTGCATTTCAAGGTTCGTTCATGTAACATGTATTAGTACTTCAATTATTTTTATGGTCAAACTATTTTCCGTTGTATGAATGTACCACATTTTGTCCATCCATTCATCTATTGAGGAAGAATTTGAGTTGTTTTCACCTTTCGACTGTTATAAAAAATGCTGTTATAAACACACATTACAAGTTTCTTTGTTGATATATGTTTTCATTTCTCAGGGTTTGGTATGTTTGAGTAGAATTGCTAGGTCATATGGTAATTCTATGTTTACCTCATTGGGGAGTCTCCAAACTGTTTTCCACAGTGATTACATGGTTATATTTCCACCAGAAATGCAGTAGAATACCAATATTTGCACATACTCACCAACAATTAATTTTTCTTAATAGTAGCCATCTGTCTTAGTTCCTTCAGGCCACTTGAAGAAAATATCTTAGCCTGGGTAATTTATAAACAATACAATTTTATTTCTTACAGTGCTGTAGGCTGGGAAGTCCAAGGTCAAGTCATCTGCAGATTTGGTGTCTGGAGAGGGCCCACTCACAGATAATGCCTTTTATGTGCCTTCACATAGTACAAGAGGAAAATAAACTCTTTCTGGCCTCTTTTATAAGGACACTAATCCCTTTCATAGGGGGCTGTAATTACTTTTTAAAGACCACACTTCTTAATACTATTGCACTGGGGAGTTAGGTTTCAACATGTGAGTCTTGGGTGGACACAAACACTCAGAATATAGCACCATTCTAGTGGATATGAAGTGATAAATTGTGGTTTTGAGTTGCATTTTCCTAACAACTAATGATTTTGAACATCTTTTCATGTTCTTATTGGCTAATTGTATATCTTCTTTGGAGAAATGTCTGTTCAAATGTCTTTTGCCTATTTTTGAATTGTGTTGTTTTTTTGGTTGTTGTTGAGTTGCAGGAACACTTTACCTATTCTGGATATTAATCCCTTATTAGGTATATTATTTGCATATATATATATTCTTCTTTTCTCTGTGCTATCTTTTTACTTTTGTAAAAAAATTTATTTCCATACATTTTTGGGGAACAGATGATATTTTGTTACATAAGTAAGTTCTTTAGTGGTGATTTCTGAGATTTTGGTGCACCCATCAACTGAGCAGTACACACTGAGCCCAATTTATAGTCTTTTATCCTTCACCCCCCTTCACCCATCCCCCGAGTCCCCCAAGTCCACTGTATTATCCTTATGTCTTTGCATCCTCATAGCTTAGCTCCCATTATAAGTGAGAACATACAATGTTTGATTATTCATTCGTGAGTTACTTTACTTAGAATATTAGTCTCTAGTCCCATCAAAGTTGTTGTGAATGCCATTATTTCGTTCCTTTTTATTGCTGAGTTGTATTCCATCATATATATATACACACACATATATACATATGTGTATACACATATACATACACATATATATGTATCAAATTCTCTATCTACTCATTGATTGAAGGGCATATGGGCTGGTTCCATATTTTTGCAATTGCAAATTGTGCTGCTATAAATCTGCAGGTGCAGGTATCTTTTTCATATAATAAATTATTTTCTTCTAGGTAGATAACCAGTAGTGGGATTGGTGAATCAAATGGTAGTTCTACCTTTAGTTCTTTTTTTTATGTAAATACGTGATATTCATTTCAGGTATGCTCTACAGGCAATCGGTTATGAAACAGAAATGCATATTCACAGGGGCTTAGCTATTATTACATCAGAAAGGTGACTTTCCAAGCCCAGCTGCTACAAACACTTTATAATATTTTTATCAATTATCCTGTATAATACACAATGTTGATAAATTTTCTTTATTTTATTTTATTATTATTATACTTTAAGCTTTAGGGTACATGTTCACAATGTGCAGGTTAGTTACATATGTATACATGTGCCATGTTGGTGTGCTGCACCCATTAACTCATCATTTAGCATTAGGTATATCTCCTAATGCTATCCCTACCCCCTTCCCCCACCCCACAACAGGCCCCGGAGTGTGATGTTCCCCTTCCTGTGCCCATGTGTTCTCATTGTTCAATTCCCACCTATGAGTGAGAACATGTGGTGTTTGGTTTTTTGTCCTTGAGAGAGTTTGCTGAGAATGATGGTTTCCAGTTTCATCCATGTCCCTACAAAGGACATGAACTCTTCATTTTTTACGGCTGCATAGTATTCCATGGTGTATATGTGCCACATTTTCTTAATCCAGTCTATCGTTGTTGGACATTTGGGTTGGTTCCAAGTCTTTGCTATGGTGAATAGTGCCGCAATAAACATACGTGTGCATGTGTCTTTATAGCAGCATGATTTATAATCCTTTGGGTATATACCCAGTAATGGGATGGCTGGGTCAAATGGTATTTCTAGTTCTAGATCCCTGAGGAATCACCACACTGACTTCCACAATGGTTGAACTATTTTACAGTCCCACCAACAGTGTAAAAGTGTTCCTATTTCTCCACATCCTCTCCAGCACCTGTTGTTTCCTGACTTTTTAATGATCGCCATTCTAACTGGTGTGAGATGGTATCTCATTGTGGTTTTGATTTGCATTTCTCTGATGGCCAGTGATAATGAGCATTTTTTCATGTGTTTTTTGGCTGCATAAATGTTTTCTTTTGAGAAGTGTCCGTTCATATCCTTCACCCACTTCTTCATGGGGTTGTTTTTTTTTTTCTTGTAAATTTGTTTGAGTTCATTGTAGATTCTGGATATTAGCCCTTTGTCAGATGAGTAGATTGCAAAAATTTTCTCCCATTTTGTAGGTTGCGTGTTCACTCTGATGGTAGTTTCTTTTGCTGTGCAGAAGCTCTTTAGTTTAATTAGATCCCATTTGTCAATTTTGGCTTTTGTTGCCATTGCTTTTGGTGTTTTAGACATGAAGTCCTTGCCCATGCCTATGTCCTGAATGGTATTGCCTAGGTTTTCTTTTAGGGTTTTTATGGTTTTAGGTCTAATATGTAAATCTTTAATCCATCTCGAATTAGTTTTTGTATAAGGTGTAAGGAAGGGATCCAGTTCCGGCTTTCTACATACGGCTAGCCAGTTCTCCCAGCACCATTTATTCAATAGGGAATTGTTTCCCCATTGCTTGTTTTTGTCAGGTTTGTCAAAGATCAGATGATTGTAGATATGTCGCATTATTTCTGAGGGCTCTGTTCTGTTCCATTGATCTATGTCTCTGTTTTGGTACCAGTGCCATGCTCTTTTGGTTACTGTAGCCTTGCAGTATAGTTTGAAGTCAGGTAGCGTGATGCCTCCAGCTTTGTTCTTTTGGCTTAGGATTGACTTGGCAATGCGGGCCCTTTTTTGGTTCCATAGGAACTTCAAAGTAGTTTTTTCCAATTCTGTGAAGAAGGTCATTCATAGCTTGATGGGGATGGCATTGAATCTATAAATTACCTTGGGCAATATGGCCATTTTCATGATATTGATTCTTCCTATCCATGAGCATGGAATGTTCTTCCATTTGTTTGTATTCTCTTATTTCATTGAGCAGTGGTTTGTAGTTCTCCTTGAAGAGGTCCTTCATATCCCTTGTAAGTTGGATTCCTAGGTATTTTATTCTCTTTGAAGCAATTGTGAATGGGAGTTCACTCATGATTTGGCTCTCTGTTTGTCTGTTATTGGTGGATAAGAATGCTTGTGATTTTTGTACATTGATTTTGTATCCTGAGACACTGCTGAAGTTGCTTATCAGCTTAAGGAGATTTTGGGTTGAGATGATGGGTTTTTCTAGATATACAATCATGTCATCTGCAAACAGGGACAATCTGACTTCCTCTTTTCCTAATTGAATACCCTTTATTTCCTTGTCCTGTCTAATAGCCCTGGCCAGAACTTCCAACACTATGTTGAATAGGAGTGGTGAGAGAGGGCATCCCTGTCTTGTGCCAGTTTTCAAAGGGAATGCTTCCAGTTTTTGCCCATTCAGTATGATATTGGCTGTGGGTTTGTCATAGATAGCTCTTATTATTTTGAAATATGTCCCATCAATACCTAATTTATTGAGAGTTTTTAGCATGAAGCATTGTTGAATTTTGTCAAAGGCTTTTTCTGCCTCTATTGAGATAATCATGTGGTTTTTGTCTTTGGTTCTGTTTATATGCTGGATTACATTTATTGATTTTCGTATGTTGAACCAGCCTTGCATCCCAGGGATGAAGCCCACTTGATATTGATGGATAAGCTTTTTCATGTGCTGCTGCATTTGGTTTGCCATTATTTTATTGAGGATTTTTGCAACAATGTTCATCAAGGATATTGGTCTAAAATTATCTTTTTTTGCTGTGTCTCTGCCCCAGGCTTTGGTATTAGGATGATGCTGGCTTCATAAAATGAGTTAGGGAGGATTCCGTCTTTTTCTATTGATTGGAATAGTTTCAGAAGGAATGGTACCAGTTCCTCCCTGTACCTCTGGTAGAATTCGGCTGTGAATCCATCTGGTCCTGGACTTTTTTTGGTTGGTAAGCTATTTATTATTGCCTCAATTTCAGAGCCTGTTGTTGGTCTATTCAGAGATTCAACTTCTTCCTGGTTTAGTCTTGGGAGGGTGTATGTCTCCAGGAATTTATCCATTTCTTCTAGATTTTCTAGTTTATTTGCGTAGAGGTGTTTGTAGTATTCTCTGATGATAGTTTGTATTTCTGTGGGATCTGTGGTGATATCCCCTTTATCATTTTTTATTGCGTCTATTTGAGTCTTCTCTCTTTTCTTCTTTATTAGTCTTGCTAGCGGTCTATCGATTTTGTTGATCTTTTCAAAAAACGAGCTCCTGGATTCATTAATTTTTTGAAGGGTTTTTTGTGTCTCTATTTCCTTCAGTTCTGCTCTGATTTTCATTATTTCTTGCCTTCTGCTAGCTTTTGAATGTGTTTGCTCTTGCTTTTCTAGTTCTTTTAATTGTGATGTTAGGGTGTCAATTTTGGATCTTTCCTGCTTTCTCTTGTGGGCATTTAGTGCTATAAATTTCCGTCTACACACTGCTTTGAATGTGTCCCAGAGATTCTGGTATGTTGTGTCTTTGTTCTCGTTGGTTTCAAAGAACGTCTTTATTTCTGCCTTCATTTTGTTGTGTATCCAGTAGTCATTCAGGAGCAGGTTGTTCAGTTTCCATGTAGTTCAGCGGTTTTGAGTGAGTTTCTTAGTCCTGAGTTCTAGTTTGATTGCACTGTGGTCTGAGAGACAGTTTGTTATAATTTCTGTTCTTTTTCATTTGCTGAGGATAGCTTTACTTCCAACTATGTGGTCAATTTTGTAATAGGTGTGGTGTCGTGCTGCAAAAAATGTATATTCTGTTGTTTTGGGGTGGAGAGCTCTGTAGATGTCTATTAGGTCTGCTTGGTGCAGAGCTGAGTTCAATTCCTGGATATCCTTGTTATCTTTCTGTCTCGTTGATCTGTCTAATGTTGACAGTGGGGTGTTAAAGTCTCCCATTATTATTGTGTGGGAGTCTAAGTTTCTTTGTAGTCACCAAGGACTTGCTTTATGAATTTGGGTGCCCCTCTATTGGGTGCATATATATTTAGGAGAGTTAGCTGTTCTTGTTGAATTGATCCCTTTACCATTATGTAATGTCCTTCTTTGTCTCTTTTGATCTTTGTTGGTTTAAAGTCTGTTTTATCAGAGACTAGGATTGCAACCCCTGTCTTTTTTTGTTTTCCATTTGCTTGGTAGATCTTCATCCATCCCTTTATTTTGAGCCTATGTGTGTCTCTGCACATGAGATGGGTTTCCTGAATACAGCATACTGATGGGTCTTGACTGTTTATCCAATTTGCCAGTCTGTGTCTTTTAATTGGAGCATTTAGCCCATTTACATTTAAAGTTAATGTTGTTATGTGTGTATTTGGTCCTGTCATTATGATGCCAGCTGGTTATTTTGGTCGTTAGTTGATGCACTTTTTGTCCTAGCCTTGATGGTTTTTACATTTTCGCATGTTTTTGCAGTGGCTGGTACTGGTTGCTCCTTTCCATGTTTAGTGCTTCCTTCAGGAGCTCTTTTAGGGCAGGCCTGGTGGTGACAAAATCTCTCAGCATTTGCTTGTCTGTAAAGTATTTTATTTCTCCTTCACTTATGAAGCTTAGTTTGGCTGGATATGAAATTCTGGGTTGAAAATTCTTTTTTTTAGGAATGTTGAATATCGGCCCCCACTCTCTTCTGGCTTGTAGAGTTTCTGCTGAGAGATCAGCTGTTAGTCTGATGGGCTTCCCTTTGTGGGTAACCCAACCTTTCTCTCTGGCTGCCCTTAACATTTTTTCCTTCATTTCAACTTTGGTGAATCTGACAATTATGTTTCTTGGAGTTGTTCTTCTCGAGGAGTTTCTTTGTGACATTCTCTGTGTTTCCTGAATCTGAATGTTGGCCTGCCTTGCTAGATTGGGGAAGTTCTCCTGGATAATATCCTGCAGAGTGTTTTCCAACTTGGTTCCATTCTCCCCATCACTTTCAGGTGCACCAATCAGATGTAGATTTGGTGTTTTCACATAGTCCCACATTTCTTGGAGGCTTTTTTCGTTTCTTTTTATTCTTTTTTCTCTAAACTTCCCTTCTCACTTCATTTCATTCATTTCATCTTCCATCACTGATACCCTTTCTTCCAGTTGATCACATCGGCTCCTGAGGCTTCTGCATTCTTCACGTAGTTCTCAAACCTTGGCTTTCAGCTCCATCAGCTCCTTTAAAGACTTCTCTGCATTGGTTATTCTAGTTATCCATTCGTTCAATTTTTTTTTCAAAGTTTTTAACTTCTTTGCCGTTGGTTTGAATTTCCTCCTGTAGCTCGTAGTAGTTTGATCGTTTGAAGCCTTCTTCTCTCAGCTTGTCAAAGTCATTCTTCATCCAGCTTTGTTCCATTGCTGGTGAGGAGCTGCATTCCTTTGGAGGAGGAGAGGCCCTCTGCTTTTTAGAGTTTCCAGTTTTTCTGATCTGTTTTTTCCCCATCTTTGTGGCTTATCTACTTTTGGTCTTTGATGATGGTGACGTACAGAAGGGTTTTTGGTGTGGATGTCCTTTCTGTTTGTTAGTTTTCCTTCTAACAGACAGGACCCTCAGCTGCAGGTCTGTTGGAGCTTGCTAGAGGTCCACTCCATACCCTGTTTGCCTGGGCATCAGCAGTGGTGGCTGCAGAACAGTGGTGGCTGTAGAACAGTGCATCTTGGTGAACCACAAATGCTGCTGCCTGATTGTTCCTCTGGAAGTTTTGTCTCAGAGGAGTACCCGGCCGTGTGAGGTGTCAGTCTACCCCTACTGGGCGTGCCTCTCAGTTAGGCTGCTCGGGGGTCAAGGACCCACTTGAGGAGGCAATCTGCCCATTCTCAGATTTCCAGCTGTATGTTGGGAGAACCACTACTCTCTTCAAAGCTGTCAGACAGGGACATTTAAGTCTGCAGAGGTTACTGCTGTCTTTTTGTTTGTCTGTGCCCTGCCCCCAGAGGTGGAGCCTACAGAGGCAGGCAGGCCTCCTTGAGCTGTGTTGGGCTCCACCCAGTTCGAGCTTCCCAGCTGCTTTGTTTACCTAATCAAGCCTGGGCAATGGCAGGCGCCCCTCCCCCAGCCTCACTGCCACCTTGCAGTTTGATCTCAGACTGCTGTGCTAGCAATCAGCGAGACTCCATGGGCGTAGGACCCTCTGAGCCAGGTGTGGCATATAATCTCCTGGTGTGCCAGTTTTTAAGCCCATTGGAAAAGCAGAGTATTAGGGTGGGAGTGACCCGATTTTCCAGGTGCCCTCTCTCACCCCTTTCTTTGACTAGGAAAGGGAACTCACTGACCCCTTATGCTTCCCGAGTGAGGCAATGCCTCGCCCTGCTTCAGCTCGTGCACGGTGTGCTGCACCCACTGTCCTGCACCCACTGTCTGGCACTCCCTAGTGAGATGAGTCTAGTACCTCAGATGGAAATGCAGAAATCACCCATCTTCTGCGTCACTCACACTGGGAGCTGTAGACCGGAGCTGTTCCTATTCGGCCATCTTGGCTCCACCCGATACTATTTTTAGTTCTTTAAGGAATCTTCACACTGTTTTCATAGTGGTTGTACTTGTTTACATTCCCAACGGCAGTGTAGAAGTGTTCCCTTTTCACCATATCCACGACAAGATCTATTATTTTTTGATTTTTTGATTATGGCCATTCTTGCAGAAGTAAGGTGACATTGCATTGTGGTTTTGATTTGCATTTTCCTGATCATTAATGATGTTTTGCATTTTTTTCATACATTCGTTGGCTATTTGTATATATTCTTTTGAGAATTGTCTATTCATGTCCTTAGTCTGCATTTTGATGGGATTGTTTGCTTTTTTCTTGCTAATTTGTTTGAGTTTCTTGAAGATTCTGCATATTAGTCCTTTGTTGCATGTATAGATTGTGAAGGTTTTCTCACACTCTGTGGGTGGTCTATTTACTCTGCTGACATTTTTTTTTTCCTGTGCAAAAGCTGTTTAGTTTAATTAAGTCCCAGCTACTTATTTTTGTTTTTGTTGCATTTGCTTTTGAGTTCTTGGTCATAATGTTTTTGCCTAAGTCAATATCTAGAAGGCTTTTTTCAATGTTATTTTCTAAAATTTTTACAGTTTCAGTTCTTAGATATAAGTCCTTGATCCATCCTGAGTTGATTTTTGTATAAGGTTAGAGATGAGGATCCAGTTTCATTCTCCTACATGGGGCTTGCCAATTATCTCAGCACCATTTGTTGAAAAGGGTGTCCTTTCCCCACTATATGTTTCATTTGCTTTGTCGAACATCAGTTGGCTGTAAGTATTTGGCTTTATTTCTGGGTTCTGTCTTTGGTTCCATTGGTCTATGTGCCTATTTTTATGCAAGTACCATGCTTTTTTTAAATGAATATGGCCTTATAGTATAGTTTGAAGTCGAGTATTGTGATACTTCCAGATTTATTCTTTTTGCTTAGTCTTGCCTTGGCTATGCAGGCTCTTTTTTGGTTCCATATTAATTTTAAGATTGTTTTTTCTAGTTCTATGAAGAAATGATGGTGATATTTTAATGGGAATTGCATTGAGTTTGTAGATTGCTTTTGGCAGTATGATCATTTTCACAATGTTGATTCTACCCATCTATGAACATGGAAAGTGTTTTCATTTGTTTGTGTCATCTATGATTTCCTTCAGCAGTGTTTTGTAGTTTTTCTTGTAGAGGTCTTTCACCTCCTTGGTTAGGTATATTCCTAAGTATTTTATTTTAATTTTTTTGTAGCTATTGTAAAAGGGGTTTAGTTCTTTATTTGATTATCATTTTGGTCACTGCTGCAGTACAGCAGAGCTACTGATTTGTGTACATTAATTTTGTATCCTAAAATTTTGCTGAATTTATGAGTGCTAGGAGCTTTTTGGATGAGTCTTTAGGGTTTTCTGTGTATGCAGTCAGATTATTAACAAGCAGACAGTTTGATTTTCTCTTTAGTTATTTGGATTCCCTTTATTTATTTCTTCCTCTTGTCTGATTGCTCTGGCTAGGAATTCCAGTACTATGTTGAATAGAAGTGGTGAGAGTGAGCAGTCTTGTCTTGTTCCAATTCTCAGAGGGAATGTTTTCAACCTTACACCATTCAGTATTATGTTGAATGTGTGTTTATCATAGATAACTTTTATTACATTGAGGTATGTACCTTGTATGCTGATTTTCCTGAGGGTTGTAATCATAAAATGATGCTGGTTTTTGTCAAATGGTTTTTCTCCATCTATTGAGATGATCATGTGATTTTTACTTATATTTCTGTTTATGTGGTGTATCACATTTATTGAGTTTTGTATGTTAAAACATCCCTGCATCCCTGGTATAAAACTCACTTGATCATGGTGGATTATCCTTTCTATATGCTGTTGGATTTTGTTAGCTAGTATTTTATTGAAGCTTTTTGCATCTATGTTCATCAGAGATATTGGTCTGTAGTTTTCTCTTTTTGTTATGTCCTTTTCTGGTTTTGGTATTAGGGTAATACTGGCTCTGTAGAATGATTTAGGGAGGACTCCTTGTTCTACCTTGTGGAATAGTGTCAATAGGATTGGTACCAATTCTTCTTTGAATGTTTGACAGATTTCAGTCGTGAATCCATCTGGAACCTTTTTTTATGGTAATTTTTTATTACCATTTCAATCTTGCTCCTTGTTATTGGTCTGTTCAGGGTTTCTAATTCTTCCTGTTTTAAGCTAGGAGGGTTGTATATTTCCAGGAATTTATCCATCTCTTCTAGGTTATCTAACTTGTGTGCATACAGGTGTGTTCATAGTAGCCTTGAATGATCTTTTCTATTTCTGTGGTATCACTTGTAATATCTCCCATTTCATTTCTAATTGAGCTTATTTGGATCTTCTCTCTTCTTTTTATGGTTAATCTTGCTAATGGTCTATAAATTTTATTTATCTTTTCAAAGAACCAGCTTTATGTTTCATTTATCTTTTGTGTCTTTTTTTCAATTCCATGTAGTTCTGCTCTGATCTTGGTTATTTCTTTTCTTCTGGTGGGTTTGGATTTGGTTTGCTCTTGTTTTTCCAGTTTGTTGCGGTGTGACCTTGGATTGTCCATTTGTGCTCCTTCAGACTTTTTGAGGTAGGCATTGAAGGCTATGAACTTTCCTCTTAGCACATCCTTTGCTGTATCCCAGAGGTTTTGGTAGGCTGTGCCACTATTATTGTTAAGTTTGAAAAATTTTTAAATTTCCATCTTGATTTCGCTGTTGACCCAATGATCATTCAGAAGCAGGTTATTTAATTTCCATGTAGTTGCATGGTTTTGAAGGTTTCTTTTGGAATTTGTTTTCAATTTTATTCCACTGTGTTCTGAGAAACAGTGTGATATAATTTAGATTTTCTTAAATTTATTAAAACTTGTTTTGTGGTGTATCATATGGTCTATCTTGGAGAACGTTCCATGCACTGATGAATAGAATGTATATTCTGCAGCTGTTGGGTAGAATGTTCTGTAAGTAACTGTTAAGTCCATTTGTTCTAGTGTATAGTTTAAATCCATTGTTTCTTTGCTAACTTTTTGTCTTGGTGACTGATCTAGTGCTGTCAGTGGAGTATTGAATTCCCCCACTATTATTGTGTTGCTGTCTATCTCATTTCTTAGGTCTAGTAGTAATTGTTTTGTAAATCTGGGAGCTCCAGTGTTAGGTGCATATATATTTAGGACTGTGATATTTTCCTCTTGGAAAAAGCCTTTTATCATTATATAATGTCCTCCTTTTTCTTTTTAGACTGCTGTTGCTTTGCTGTTTGTTTTGTTTAATATAAGAATAGCTACTCCTGCTCACTTTTGGTTACCATTTACATAGAATGTCTTTTTACACCTTTTTACCTTAAGTTTATGTGAGTCCTTATGTGTTACGTGAGTCTCTTGAAGACAGCAGATACTTGATTGGTTAATTCTTATCCATTCTGCCATTCTTTATTTTTTAAGTGGAACATTTAGGTCATTTACATTCAATGTTACTATTGAGATGTGAGATGCTATTCGTTTTGCTAATTGTTGCCTGAATACCTTGTTTTTTTATTCATTGTGTTATTTTTTATAGGCCCTGTGAGATTTATGCTTTAAGGAGGTTATATTCTGGTGTATTTCAAGGATTTGTTTCAAGATTTAGAGCTGCTTTCAGCAGTTCTTATAATGCTGGCTTGGTAGTGGCAAATTCTCCTGGAATTTGTTTGTCTGAAAAAGTCTTTATCTTTTCTTCATTTATGAAGTTTAGTTTCACTGGATAGAAAATTCCTGGCTGATAATTGCTTTGTTTAAGAAGACTAAAGATAGAATCTGAATCCCTTCTGGCTTGTAGGATTTCTGCTGAGAAATCTGCAGTTAATCTGATAGATTTTTCTTTATAGGTTACCTGATGCTTTTGGCTCACAGATCTCAAAATTCTTCCTTTTACCTTGACTTCAGATAACCTGATGACTATGTGGCTAGGTGATGTTGTTTTCATAATGAATTTTCCAGTTGTTCTTTGAGCTTCTTGTATTGGAATGTCTAGATCTCTAGCAAGCCCAAGGAAGTTTTCTTCAATTATTTTCCCAAATATGGTTGCCGTCTGATGAGCCGTATCTGTCCCTTAAGAAAGAGCTGTGGTCAGTGGCCTCTTTTTACTTTCTTGATGGTATCTTTTGATGCATAAAAGCTTCTGATTTTGATAAAGCTTATTTTTTATTGTTCATGTTTTTTATGTCCTGTCTAAGAGTCTTTTACCAAATCCTAGATCATAAAGATGTGTCCTTTTGTTTTCTTCTAATAATTTTATATTATTTTTACATTTAGGTAATTGAACCATCTTGATTTAGTAGTGTGAGGTAAGAGTTCAATTTCAATTTTTTACATATGCCTGTTTAGTTGTCTCAGCACCATTTGTGGGTAAGACTGTTCCCCATTGAACGGTATATTAATTTCCTAGGTCTACTATAACAAGTTACCACACACTAGATGGCTTAAACAGTTTATTGTCTTACAGTTCTGGAGGCCAGATGTTTCACGTTAAAGTGCTGCCAAGGCCATGCTCCCTTTGAATGGACTAGGAGAGGATTTGTTCCAGGCTTCCCCTAGCTTCTGGTAGGAGGATTTTTCCTAGCTTTCTCATAGTTTCTGGTAGTTTTTTTGTCTTGTGGCAGCATAACTCCAATATTCACATGGCATTCTCCCTGTATGTGTGTTTGTGTCCAAATTTATTTAAAAGTACACCTGTCATCTTGCAATAGAGATCCATCCTACTCCATTTTAACCTCATCTTAACTAATTATATTGGAAACAACCATATTTCCAAATAAGGCCACATTTTGAGGCACTAGGGGGTTTGACTTCAACATATGAATTTCTGGGGAACACAATTCATACCATAACAAAGTATCTTGGTATGCTTTTCTGAAATTAGCTGATCATAGATGTATGGGTTCATTTCTGGACTCTCAAATCTATTTCATTGATCTATCTGTCCATACTTGTGCTAGAACCACACTGTGATGATTACGTTTGCTTTGTAGTAAGATTTGAAATCAGTAAGTGTAAATTCTCTATTTTATTCTTTCTTTAAGTATTGTTTTAGCCATTCTGTGTTTCTTGTGACTCCATATGAATTTCAGAATCAGCTTGTCAATTATTACAAAAATGTCAGCTGAGATTTTGTTCTTATTTTGGCTACAGATGTTTTACTACTTTCAAATCCAATGGAAAATTGTCAATTTTCTTATATCCCACAAATAAATCATTTCCATTGTAGAAAAACAGAAATACAAAAAGAAGAAAATTACAAAAGCATTTACAATCTCACCATGAAGAAAACTACTCTTTTTTTTTTTTAAATTATACTTTAAGTTCTGGGATACATGTGCAGAACATGCAGGTATGTTTCATAGGTATACACATGCCATGGTGGTTTGCTGCACCCATCAACTCATTACCTACATAGTAGGTATTTCTCCTAATGCTATCCCTCTGCTAACCTCCCACCCCCTGACAGGCCCCAGTGTGTGATGTTCCCTTCCCTGTGTCCGTGTGTTCTCATTGTTCAACTCCCACTTATGAGTGAGAACATGTGGTGTTTGGTTTTCTGTTCCTGTGTTAGTTTGCTGAGAATGATGGTTTCCAGCTTTATCCATGTCCCTTAAAAGGACATGAACTCATCCTTTCTGTGGCTGCATAGTATTCCATGGTGTATATGTACCACATTTTCTTTATCTAGTCTATCATTGATGGGCATTTGGGTTGGCTGCAAGTCTTTGCTATTGTGAACAGTGCTGCAATAAACATATGTGTGCATGTGTCTTTATAGTAGAATGATTTGTAATCCTTTGGGAATATACCCAGTAGTGGGATTGCTGGGTCAAATGGTATTTCTGGTTCTGGATCCTTGAGGAATTGCCACACTATCTTCCACAATGGTTGAACCAATTTACACTCCCACCAATAGTGTAAAAGCATTCCTATTTCTCCACATCCTCTCTGGCATGTGTTGTTTCCTGACTTTTTAATGATGGCCATTCTACCTGGTGTGAGATGGTATCTCATTGTGGTTTTGATTTGCATTTCTCTAATGACTAGTGATGATGAGCCTTTTTTTTTCATATGTTTGTTGGCCACATAAATGTCTTCTCTTGAGAAGTGTCTGTTCATATCCTTTGCCCATTCTTTGATGGGGTTGTTTTTTCTTGTAAATTTGTTTATTTCCCTTCTAGATTCTGGGTATTAGCCCTTTGTCAGATGGATACATTGCAAAAATTTTCTCCCATTCTATAGGTTGCCTGTTCATTCTGATGATAGTTTCTTTTGCTTTGCAGAAACTCTTTAGTTTAATTAGATCCCATTTGTCAATTTTGGCTTTTGTTGTCATTGCTTTTGGTGTTTTAGTCATGAAGTCCTTGCCCACGCCTATGTCCTGAATGGTATTGCCTAAGTTTTCTTCTAGGGTTTTTATTGTTTTAGGTCTTATGTTTAAGTCTTTAATCCATCTTGAGTTAATTTTTGTATAAGGTGTAAGGAAGGGGTCCAGTTTCAGTTTTCTGCATATGCTATGGCTAGCTAGTTTTCCCAACACCATTTATTAAATAGGGAATCCTCTTCCCATTGATTGTTTTTGTCAGGTTTGTCAAAGATCAGATGGTTGTAGCTGTGTGGCATTATTTCTGAGGCCTGTGTTCTGTTCCATTGGTCTATATATCCGTTTTGGTACCAGTACCATGCTGTTTTGGTTACTCGAAGCCTTGCAGTGTAGTTTGAGGTCAGGTAGCGTGATGCCTTCAGCTTTGTTCTTTTTGCTTAGGATTGTCTGGCTACGTGGGCTCTTTTTGGTTCCATATAAACTTTAAAGTAGTTTTTTCTAATTCTGTGAAGAAAGTCAATGATAGATTGTTGGGGATAGCATTGAATCTATAAATTAGTTTGGGCATTGTGGCCATTTTTACAATATTCATTCTTCCTTTCCCTGAGCATGGAATGTTTTTCCATTTGTTTGTGTCCTATCTTATTTTCTTGAGCCGTGGTTTGTAGTTCTCTTTGAAGGGGTCCTTCACATCCCTTGTAAGTTGTATTCCTAGGTATTTTATTCTCTTTGTAACTATCGTGAATGGGAGTTCACTCATGATTTGGCTCTCTATTATTGGCGTATAGGAATGCGTGTGATTTTTGCACATTGATTTTGAATCCTGAGACTTTGCTGAAGATGCCCATCAGCTTAAGGAGATTTTGGGCTGAGGCAATGGGGTTTTCTAAATAAGAAAACAACTCTTTTAATTTTTGATATATATCTTGTTGCAGGGGAGCAATGACTATCAGTGCCAGTGGCACAGGGGTAAATGAATTAAAAGATAGTTTTAGGTAAAGAAAGGAGGATTTATTAGAGAAAGTAGCAAAATACATTGCAAAAAGGCAACAGGCAGGATCAGTAGAAGAGAAGCGAACTGTAAAGAAACAAAGGATTGCTGGGGATTTTATAGAATAGTGTTTATACTGTATGCTGAATAGGGCTTTGTTGAGTACTGAAGATGCCAAAGTTGCAGTGAGCTAACTTGCAGGGGTCTGCTAATAGTTGAGTACAGAAAGATTGTGAATTATTTGCAAAGGAGGGCTACGTGTTCTGGACCATGAAGAAAGGCAGACTTATAGCTTGTCTGCTTTCTCTTTATTCTTCCCTGGTCCCACCAGCCTGACTCCTTTCCCTTATTAGCACTCCATATATATTTTCATGCTTTTTAAGCCTATACATGCAAAAAAACACCATTTTTCTTCCCTCACATTGAGAAATCTACAAATATTGCTACTGTTATCAATATTATTGAGACTCTTTCCTCATATGTTAATGAAAATGAGAAACCTTCAGAAGGACTTCACCCATTGTTTTTTAATTTTTTAAATTTTATCATTAAAAATGCATACCCTTGAAGAAACTGGAACCCTCATACATTGCTGGTGGGAACATAAAATGATGCAGCCACTGTAGAAACAATCTGGCAATTACTCAAAAAATTAAACATAGAATTAACATATGACGCAGAAATTCCACTCCTAAGTATATATCCAAAAGAACTAAAAACAGGGATTCAGACAGATACAAGTGTACTAATGTTCATAGCAGCATTATTCACAGTAGCCAAAAAGTGAAAACAACACATGTCCATCAAGAGATGAATGGGTAAACAAAGTGTGGTATATACATACAATAAAATATTATTCAGCCATAAAAGTGAGTAAAGTTCTGATACATGCTACAACATGGATGACTTTTTTCTTTCTTTCTTTTTTTTTTTTTTATACAAAGTCTTGCTCTGTCACCCAGGCTGGAGTGCAGTGGTGCGATCTTGGCTCACTGAAGCCTCCACTTCCTGGGTTCAAATGATTCTCCTGCCTCAGTCTCCCAAGTAGCTGGGATTGCAGGTGCCTGCCATCATGCCTGGCTAATTTTTGTATTTTTAGTAGAGATAGGGTTTCACCCTCTTGGCCAGGCTGGTCTCGAACTCCTGACCTCAAGTGACCCACCCACCTCAGCCTCCCAAGGTGCTGGGATTACAGGCGTGAGCCACCACACCCAGCCAGATGAATTTTTAAAACATTATCTTAAGTGAAACAAGCCAGACATAAAAGCACAAATACTGTGTGATTTTACTTATCTGAAATATATAGAATAGGCAAATACTTGGAGATGGAAGTAGATTACAGGTTACCAGTAGATGGCAGAAAGGAGAATAGGGAGTTATGGGAGTTATGGTTTAATGAATACAGAGTTTCTGTTTGGGATGATGAAAATTTTAGAAATAGTGGTTATGGTTGCACAACAATGTGAATGTAATTAATGCCACTGAATCATACACTTGGAAATGGATTAAATGGCCAATTTTATTATATATATATGTGTATATATATATATATATATACACATATATATAACCACAATTAAAGAGTAGTAATATAAAATGCATTCCTATTTATCTTCCGATAAACTGCATTTGCCTTGGAAGAGATTAAAATATTCAATCAGGCCAGGCATGTTGTCTCACACCGGTAATCCCAATGCTGCTTTGGGAGGCTGAGGTGGGTGGATCACTTGAGGTCTGGAGTTTGAGACCAGACTGGCCAACTTGGTGAAGCCCTGTCTCTACAAAAGTACAAAAATTAGCCAGGCATGGTGACATGCACCTGTAATCCTAGCTACTTGGGAGGCAGAGGCCCGAGAATTGTTTGAACCCGGGAGGTGGAGGTTGCAGTGAGCTGAGACTGTGCCACTGCACTCCAGCCTGGGCAACAGAGTGAGACTGTGTCTCAAAAAAGTAAATAAGTAAAAATAATAATAAAATATTCAATCAATGTAGATTGAATAGGATATAAAGGACTTATAACAGTTCCTGGAACATAGTTAAATTCTCAAGAAATACTTAGGTATTACTCTTATTATTTAATATAATCCCATATTATTACTTTTTTCAATTGGTTATATTGTAAGCATTTTCCCACATCAATAAATATAGAAGTATGTCATAATTTCTAATAACTATATAATACTTAATATCACTTTTACCATGTTATTTAACAAATCTCTTAAATTTTAGTATTTATGTTACTTTGATATTATATCAATCTTTATCTTATGTGACATCCCTGGGACATTTGAAGCTTAATTACTCCCTTGTTGAAATTCTCCATTCGTTGGTTTTCCATCACACCAGACTTTCTTCCTATCCTTCTGACTTATCTTTCTCTTTGCTGATTTCTCTTCCTCTGACTACCCCATAAATGAAGGAGTTCTATAGGATTCTTTTTTTTCATCCTTATTTCTTCTCTTTCTTCACCCTTTCTGTGAAGAAATGATTTACTTCCATGGATTGAACTAATACTTGTGTGGTGATGACTCCCCACGTTCTTACCTCTAGCTCAGAACCCTCTCCTGAGAATTAAAGCTTTATTTGTGGCTGCCTCCTGGATACTTGTTCCTAGATGTCTTACAGGTATCTTAAACTCAATTTATTGTTATCTTCCGCCTACCCCACTACCTATATTCTCTCTCTCAAAGAAAGCCACTGCCATTCAAAATTTTCCAAGTTAGAAGCTTGGGGGAATCATCCTTAATTCTGTTCTCTCCTTCTCACCTTACTTGTAGCGTTTTTGTTTGTTTGTTTGTTTTGCCACTGAATATCGCTCAAATCTACTTGGTCCTATCTAAGCCTAATTGTCCAAGTGAGGTCTCTTTAAATTTCTTACTTGATATATCATAATAGCTTTAAGGTTTATACATGATCTTATTAACTTCTTACCTTGCCCCACTTTACGTTTACCCTTGAATCAACTGAAAATCTGCATAATATCCTTAGTGAGTCACCACTGCCTACAAAACAAACTTTGAGTGAGATTTGGGTGGGTACACAGAGCCAAACCATATCATTCCACCCCAGTCCCCCTGAAATCTCATGTCCTCACATTTCAAAACTAATCATGTTTTCCCAATAGTTCCCTGAAGTCTTAACTTATTTTACCATTAACTCAAAAGTCCACAGTCCAAAGTCTCATCTGAGACAAGGCAAGTCCCTTCCACCTACAAGCCTGTAAAATCACAAGCAAGTTAGTTACTTCTTAGATATAATGGGGGGTAGAGGCATTGGGTAAATACCCTCATTCCAACTGGGAGAAATAGGCCAAAAAGAAGGGGCTACAGGCCCCATGCAAGTCCAAAATTGAGCAGGACAGTCAAATCTTAAAGCTCCAAAATGATCTCCTTTGACTCCATGTCTCACATCCACATCATGCTAATGCAAGAGGTAGGCTCCTACAGCCTTGGGAAGCTCCACCCCTGTGGCTTTGCAGGATATAGCCCTCCCTCCTGGCTGCTTTCATAGGCTGGTGTTGAGTGTCTGTGGCTTTTCCAAGTGCATGGTGCAAGCTATTGGTGGATCTATTTTTCTGGGATCTGGAGGACAGTTACCCTCTTCTCACAGCTTCACTAGACAGTGTCCCAGTGGGGACTCGGTGGGGGTTCACACTCTACATTTCCCTTTCGCATTGCTCTAGCAGAGGTTTTCCATGAGGGCTCTGCCCCTGCAACACACCTCTGCCTATACATCCGGGCATTTCCATACATCCTCCGAAATCTAGGTGGAGGTTCCCAAACCTTAATTCTTGACTTCTGTGCACCCACCAGCTCAACACAACATGGAAGCTGCCAAGGCTTGGGGTTTGCATCCTCTAAAGCCGTGGCCCAAACTGTACTTTGGCCCCTTTTAGCCTCTGCTGGAGTGGCTGGAATGCAGGGCACCAAGTCCCTAGACTGCACAGAGCAGAGAGTCCCTGGGCCCAGCCCATGAAACCATTTTTTCCTCCTAGGCTTGTGGGCCTGTGATGGGAGGGGCTGCTGTAAAGGTCTCTGACATTCCCTGGAGAAATTTTTCCCATTGTCTTGGTGGTTAACATTTGGCTCCTTGTTACTTATGCAAATTTCTGCAGCCAGCTTGATTTTCTCATCAGAAAATGGGTTTTTCTTTTCTATTGCATCATCAGACTGCAAATTTTCTAAAACTTTATGCTATTTCCCTTTTAAAACTGAATGCTTTTAATGGCACCCAAGTCACCTCTTGAATGCTTTGCTGCTTAGAAATTTCTTCTGCCAGATACCCTAAATCATCTCCCTCAAGTTCAAAGTTTCACAAATCTCTAGAGCAGGGGAAAAATGCTGCAAGTCTCTTTGCTAAAGCATAGCTAGAGTCACCTTTATTCCAGTTCCCAACAAGTTCCTCATCTCCATCTGAGATGAGAAGCATTTGGTCAAAGCCATTCAACAAGTCTCTAGGAAGTTCCAAATTTTTCACATCATCCATTCTTCCAAGCCTTCCAAACTGTTCCAACCTCTGCCTGTTACACAATTCCAAAGACATTTTCACATTTTTTGGGTATCTTTACAGCAGCATCCCACTCTACTGGTACCAATTATCTCTGTTAGTTTTTTCTTATGCCATTAATAAAGACATACCCAAGACTGGGTAATTTATAAAGAAAAAAAGATTTAATGGACTCACAGTTCCACGTGGCTGGGGAGGCCTCACAATCATAGTGTGAGGCAAAGGAGGAGCAAAGTCATGTCTTACATGGCAGCAGGCAAGAGGGAGCGTGTGCAGGGGAACTCCCCTTTATAAAACCATCAGATCTCATGAGACTTATTTACTACCAGAAGAACAGCACAGGGAAAACCCACCCCAATAATTCCATTACCTCCCACCAGGTCCCTCCCATGACACATGGGGATTATTACAATTCAAGGTGATATTTGTATGGGGACACAAAGCCAAACCATATCAGGTGTCTATTATCATTCTTTTTATACTGTATCTTCATTGTTTACTTATGTGTCTATCTCTTCACTAGGGCTCCTTGGGGGGTTATCTCTTATTCATTTATTAATTCTCTAAATCTCTAAATCCAATCTTACATCATGCATAATTGAGACACATTACATTACATATTATTGTGACTCTTTTCTCATATATTAATGGAAGTGAGAAGCATAATATCCTTTATATGTATTTGAATATTAATAAATATTTGTCGAGCAAATGAATAAATCAACTTAAAGCTGTTTATCTTTTAATACTTTTGAGCCTCAGGGGACATGATTAACTTTTGGGGTGTCATGGGTTTATTGGCTAGAGCTTCCACCCAGAAACTGAAAAACTCATGTCCTGACTAGCCAACCAAGATCAATTTCTCTCCAAGTTTACTATCCTTTGCAGAACAGTTGGAAGCTTTTATTAGACCAGATATCAATCACTGCTGTGTCTATTGTGTAACAGTCAAGTCAGTTTAGCCTATTCCTAGCCAACTTTACCACCAGATATGGCCCAGTTTAGAGCCCTTTCTCCATACAGATGGCCTGTACCACCTCCTGCTAATAACAACAAAAAAAATCTCTATCTCCCTATGAGGGCCAGGTACAATACTATACTATGTCTATAAAGTCTCTGTTCCTCTCAGCTTGGCATATACCTATTGGCTACAAGTCCAAACTCTGGTTAGTCTGACAATCACAGGGCTTTCTTTCTCTGGGCTTTCTTCAAAGGGTCAGATTTTGGAATTACTGGAGTCCTGGTTTCTGTTGAGCTAATAGCACTTGGAGGCTGATTAAGATGTTAATGATCCAGGTAAATAATAAAATATTCCTACAATGTATCTTTGGTTGAGCCCAATACTTTCAAGATGAAGAGTGGAAATAAATATTGATAGAGAACTCAGAACTAACTCATTCCTCCAACTATTCCATGGTAATAGAACAAGGTGTTTTTTTTTTTTTTTTTCTGAATGGGTCCAGACTTCACCTACTAGAAATTTGTGAAATTTGCTGAATTTCTTTACTAGATTATGTCGATTGTCTAGAGATGCAGAAATGGAGCACATACACCGTAGCATAGCAAGAATTAAGGAATACTGCATTATATAGGCAAAGGAGACTGGGAAATTCTGTAAAGTAAGAGTCTTCCAGGGCTGGATATTGAATTAGTTTTCTGTTTTATCCATTTAAGAAGAAAAAATTCTATTTAACACGCATTAGATACACGGTTTCTCCATATTTTCCAAATATCATATTTTCATACCATGAACATTAAAACGATTGATATTTATAATTAAAGCAAAAGATCTAAGTGGAATATTTATTTCTATATACAGTTCAGAAAATGTAAGCTAATGCTACAATCTACTGTCCGTTTTATCTTTAATGTACACAGAGAAAAGCCTCCTGTTGACATGTAGAAAACCAAAAGGACTTCATTTAAGTTACAGCCTCACTTTTTTTATTTGAGGGCCATTGAGCAAGTTAATGCACCTCTATGATTCAGTTTACTGCTTTTGTGAAGTAACAATGGTTATATCACCTATCTCTACTTCACAGAGCTGGTGCTGTCAAGGATCAAATGAGATTATGTATGTGAAATCACCTTGAAAAGGATTTCACAGATATAAGATTTCACCACAGATATAAGACATTATTGCAGCTGCTGTGAAGCAAATTTTGGAACAATGGATAGATTCATTGTATAAAAGGTAAGGGACTATTAATTTGAGATTGGTATTGGGATAACTTTTTATGCTCATTCAGTTTTCAGATATATCAGACTTTACATATTTGATAGAAAAATTATTAGTGAAATGGGAAAAGTTCCCTTGTTCTCCTCGCAGGATATGTGACAGGAGGAGTGGCTCACTTCTTTAGTGTCCTGCTGCTCAAACCTCTAGGGGAGCATACAGATGGGCAGTTTGTGGGGCTCTGACCCCACAGCAGCATCTAGGGGTGGATGTTTACAGCTCCTGAAGCTCCAGTGGGCTTGTGTTACAGGGTGTTCCTTAACTTTGCCATCTATAGGCGGCTTGTGTTAACCAGCTCAGTTAGACCCTCTAGCTTGTCACAAGGACAGAGGGCTTTCTGTATCCTGCGTTCTTGCCTTGGTGTACTGGAAGAATTGGATCACACGTGGGCTTGGAGAATGAGTGCAAGGTTTTATTGAGTGGAAGTAGCTCTCAGCAGATAGGGGAGCCAGAAGAGAGATGGTTTTTCCCTAGAGTCAGGCCACTTGGTGGCCCGAGCACTCCTCTGATTGCCCCAGCCAAACTCCACATCTTTCTGCCAGTCAGTGGCCTGCTGGCATGCTGGTGCCTGTTGGTGCATTCCTCTTGACATCTAGCCACTTGTGTGTTCCTCCATTGATGTGCTCCTCTCAACGTCCAGCCACTTCTATCTCTGTGTTCCTAGGGTCTCCATCTTTTATAGGCACAGGTTGGGGGTTTGGCAGGTGAGGGTGGTCATGGGAATTGCAACATTTGGGCAGGAAAATGAAAATGCCTGTCCTCACCTAGGTCCACGGGGGGTGGAGCCCTAGCCAGGGACCAACCCTCCTCTACCCAGCGTTTTCCTTCCCCGCATCCGTATCATTTAAAAGGACCATGCTCTTCCCTTCCCAGCACTTCCGTATCATTACTAAGTAAAATTTGTTAATGCGGTGATTATGCAGTTGCTGTAACTTATCCTGAAGTTTAAAAACTGCAGCAACCAAATGTATAACTTTGCTGCCTCTTGCTCTTGAGAGCGAATGCATGGAGAACTTCTGAATTGTTGGGAGGGTGAAATGAGAAAAAGTATAGAAATTATCTCACATAATACGTCTCATTAAAAAATATTTCATATTCATTTTTTAATTGAACAGACATGTCTTTAGTTCTTTAGTACAAAATTAGCTAGATCCATAGTCTCCTAGATGTTGTGGAAACCAAAGATGATTAAGAAAATATCTGGATGATGAAATAATATATACAACAAATCCTCATGACAAGCGTGCACATGTACCCCTGAACATAAAATAAAAGTTTTAAAAAAGAAATCAGATACAGCAATCCCACTAAAGGGAATTTATCTAAAGGAAAGAAAATCATTATATTGAAGAGACATCTGTACCTGCATGTTCATTGCCACTCTATTCACAATAGCCAAGATATGGAATTAACCTAAGTGTCCATCAATGGATAAATGAAGAAAGTAGGGTATATATTCACAATGGAATACTGTTAAGCCATTAAAACAAATGAAACCTTGTCATATGTGACAATATGGATGGAATTGGAGGATGTTACGTTGAGTGAAATAAGCCAGGAACAGATAGTTGATGGTGGCATGTTCCCATTCATATGTGGAAGCTAAAAAATGTTTATCTCATAGAAATGAAAAGTAGAACAGAGGATACTAGAGGCTGGGAAGGGGAAAAGGAAAGGGAGAGATTTATTAAAGGATATGAAATTACAGCTAGATAGGGGGAGTAACTTCTAGTGTTCTATAGCACTGAAGGATGAAACAATAATATATAGTTTTGAATAGCTAGAAGGAGGAAAGGAGGATATTGAATGTTCCCAACACAAAGAAATGACAAGTATTTGAGATTATAGATATGTTAAGTACCCGGATCTGATCACTATACATTATATGCATTTAAACATCACTATGTACTCCATGAATATGTACAATTTTTATTATTATTATACTTTTAAGTTTCAGGGTAAATGTGCACAACATGCACGTTTGTTACATATATATACATGTGCCATGTTGGTGTGCTACACCCATTAACTCGTCATTTAACATTAGGTATATCTCCTAATGCTATCCCTCCCCCCTCCCCCCACCCCACAACAGGCCCCAGTATGTGATGTTCCTCTTCCTTTGTCCATGTGTTCTCATTGTTCAATTCCCACCTATGAGTGAGAACATACAGTGTTTGGTTTTTTATCCTTGAGATAGTTTGCTGAGAATGATGGTTTCCAGTTTCATCCATGTATCTACAAAGGACATGAACTCATCATTTTTTATGGCTGCATAGTATTCCATGGTGTATATGTGCCACATTTTCTTAATCAAGTCTATCATTGTTGGATATTTGGGTTGGTTTCAAGTCTTTGCTATTGTGAATAGTGCCACAATAAACATACTTGTGCATGTGTTTTTATAGCAGCATGATTTATAATCCTTTGAGTGTATACCCAGTAATGAGATGGCTGGGTCAAATGGTATTTCTAGTTCTAGATCCCTGAGGAATCGCCACATTGACTTCCACAAGGGTTGAACGAGTTTACAGTCCCACCAACAGTGTAAAAGTGTTCCTATTTCTCCACATCCTCTCCAGCACCTGTTGTTTCCTGATGTTCAATGATCGGCATTCTAACTGGTGTGAGATGCTATCTCATTGTGGTTTCGATTTGCATTTCTCTGATGGCCAGTGATGATGAGCATTTTTTTACGTGTCTTTTGGCTGCATCAATGTCTTCTTTTGAGAAGTGTCTGTTCATATCCTTTGCCCACTTTTTGATGGGGTTGTTTGTTTTTTTCTTGTAAATTTGTTTGAGTTCATTTTAGATTCTGGATATTAGCCCTTTGTCAGATGAGTAGGTTGCGAAAATTTTCTCCCATTTTGTAGGTTGCCTGTTCACTCTGATGGTAGTTTCTTTTGCTGTGCAGAAGCTCTTTAGTTGAATTAGATCCCATTTGTCAATTTTGTCTTTTGTTGCCATTGCTTTTGGTGTTTTAGACATGAAGTCCTTGCCCATGCCTATGTCCTGAATGGTATTGCCTATGTTTTCTTCTAGGGTTTTTATGGTTTTAGGTCTAATATGTAAGTCTTTAATCCATCTTGAATTAAATTTTGTAAAAGGTGTAAGGAAGGGATCCAGTTTCAGCTTTCTGCATATGGCTAGCCAGTTTTCCCAGCACCATTTATTAAATAGGGAATCCTTTCCCCATTGCTTGTTTTTTTGAGGTTTGTCAAAGATCAGATGGTTGTAGATATGTGGCATTATTTCTGAGGGCTCTGTTCTGTTCTATTGGTCTATATCTCTGTTTTGGTACCAGTACCATGCTGTTTTGGTTACTTTAGCCTTGCAGTATAGTTTGAAGTCAGGTAGCGTGATGCCTCCAGCTTTGTTCTTTTGGCTTAGGATTGACTTGGCAATGTGGGCTCTTTTTTGCTTCCATATGAACTTTAAAGTAGTTTTTTCCAATTCTGTGAAGAAAGTCATTGGTAGCTTGATGGATATGGCATTGAATCTATAAATTACCTTGGGCAGTCTGACCATTTTCATGATCTTGATTCTTCCTACCCATGAGCATGGAATGTTCTTCCATTTGTTTGTATCCTCTTTTATTTCCTTGAGCAGTGGTTTGTAGTTCTCCTTGAAGAGGTCCTTCACATCCCTTGTAAGTTGGATTCCTAGGTATTTTATTCTCTTTGAAGCAGTTGTGAATGGTAGTTCACTCATGATTTGGCTCTCTGTTTGTCTGTTATTGGTGTATAAGAATGCTTGTGATTTTTGTACATTGATTTTGTATCCTGAGACTTTGCTGAGTTGCTTATCAGCTTAAGGAGATTTTGGGCTGAGACAATGGGGTTTTCTAGATATACAAGCATGTCATCTGCAAACAGGGACAATTTGACTTCCTCTTTTCCTAATTGAATACCCTTTATTTCCTTCTCCTGCCTGATTGCCCTGGCCAGAACTTCCAACACTATGTTGAATAGGAGTGGTGAGAGAGGGCATCCCTGTCTTGTGCCAGTTTTCAAAGGGAATGCTTCCAGTTTTTTTCCATTCAGTATGATATTGGCTGTGGGTTTGTCATAGATAGCTCTTATTATTTTGGGATACTTCCCATCAATACCTAATTTATTGAGGGTTTTTAGCATGAAAGGTTGTTGAATTTTGTCAAAGGCCTTTTCTGCATCTATTGAGATAATCATGTGGTTTTTGTCTTTGGTTCTGTTTATATGCTGGATTACGTTTATTGATTTTAATATGTTGAACCAGCCTTGCATCCCAGGGATGAAGCCCACTTGATCATGGTGGATAAGCTTTTTGATGTGTTGCTGGATTCAGTTTGCCAGTATTTTATTGAGAATTCTTGCATCAGTGTTCATCAAGGATATTGGTCTAAAATTATCTTTTTTTGTTGTGTCTCTGCCAGGCTTTGGTATTAGGATGATGCTGGCCTCATAAAATGAGTTAGGGAGGATTCCCTCTTTTTCTATCGATTGGAATAGTTTCAGAAGGAATGGTACTAGCTCCTCTTTGTGCCTCTGATAGAATTCGGCTGTGAATCCATCTGGTCCTGGACTCTTTTTGGTTGGCACGCTATTTATTATTGCCTCAATTTCAGAGCCTGTTATTGGTCTATTCAGAGATTCAATTTCTTCCTGGTTTTGTCTTGGGAGGGTGTATGTGTTGAGGAATTTATCCATTTCTTCCAGATTTTCTAGTTTATTTGCGTAGAGGTGTTTATAGTATTCTCTGATGGTAGTTTCTATTTCTCTGGGATCGGTGGTGATATCCCCTTTATCATTTTTTATTGCATCTATTTGATTCTTCTCTCTTTTATTCTTTATTAGTCTTGCTAGCGGTCTATCAATTTTGTTGATCCTTTCAAAAAACCAGCTCCTGGATTCATTGATTTTTTGAAGGGTTTTTTGTGTCTCTATTTCCTTCAGTTCTGCTCTGATCTTAGTTATTTCTTGCCTTCTGCTAGCTTTTGAATGTGTTTGCTCTTGCTTTTCTAGTTCTTTTAATTGTGATGTTAGGTTGTCAATTTTAGATTTTTCCTGCTTTCTCTTGTGGGCATTTAGTGCTATAAATTTCCCTCTACACACTGCTTTGAATGTGTCCCAGAGATTCTAGTACGTTGTGTCTTTGTTCTCATTGGTTTCAAAGAACATCTTTATTTCTGCCTTCATTTTGTTATGTACCCAGTAGTCACTCAGGAGCAGGTTGTTCAGTTTCCATGTAGTTGAGCAGTTTTGAGTGAGTTTCTTAATCCTGAGTTGTAGTTTGATTGCACTGTGGTCTGAGAGACAGTTTGTTATAATATCTGTTCTTTTTCATTTGCTGAGGAGTGCTTTACTTCCAACTGAATATGTACAATTATTATGTGTTCATTTAAGTAAATAAATAATAGTCAGATATCCCATCCTTAAAAAAAATTTAAAAAAAGTCTCTGTGCTTTCAAGAAGCCCACAGTCTGGTGGAGATTTTTTTGTTAGCTCTCTGAAAGCAAAGACTTTGGGAAATGGGATATAAAATAGGAGCTTATTGTGAGGTTGTACCAAAGATAGACTTCGCTAATTTTAAGTATAGAAATGTTATGTCTCTTATTCATCTTTGTACAATACGAGGTCTTAGCTCAGTAAATGTTTGTCAAACAAATAAACAAATGAAGGTTTGGAAAGTGGGTAAAGGCGAGGACAGTAGTGGTGTTTGGCCTTTTCAGATGAAAATACAGCCTATTAGTGGGCTATCTTTTCTGCTTCCGTTTCCTTGTTGGCTTCTTGGTAGAGTGACAAGCCAAATCAAACCAACAATGAAGACGCTGTTTTGAATGATACTTTTTGATTTTTTTTCTACTTAGCTGTAGCTACTGTTTCCAGAAGCTACCAGTGGCCCAGGTAAAGAACACCAGCAAGGGATTTACCTGAATGGGTCCCTTGGGGTAGCCTCACAGTCAGGGGTCTGATTCTGGGTATGGCTTTAATGCCATAATCACAATGTGAGAATACAAGAGTTTTTAGTACTTCCAAATTCTTAAGCTAGGTCGGGAAACCACAGAGGGGAAGACAGTAGTCCCTTATCCTAGGCCTCCTGAAACAATCAGCAACTGAATCCATGCAGGAGAAGGCTTTCAGTACTTAAGGGTCATTTGGGGTGAGGTGTCCTAATTTTGTGGGGATACTAATTTTTGGGTAGTTTAAATAATTCTGGCAGAAGGGCAGTGCACAGTTTGGCATGAAGCTAGGGTTATAACAGGGCTCTGAAGACAAACTAATCTGTCTTGGTCAGCCTGAATCAGGCTTAGGCGAGTAGCTACCGTTTTCTCCTTTACTTCTCAGACAGGGATACCCCAATACAACACTGACTTCCTGCTACTATTGTAACTGCAGCAGTCACTCACTTTTAGAAGCAAATAATCATTCTTTCTATTACAATGCTTGTTCACTTGCTTAAAAAATTTCAGGAATGAGCCTTGAGATAAAACCAATGTTGTAAAACACTCTCCTGAAGAAAATGCTGAGCAACCACTTGTTAGTAGAACCAAATCCTTCCAAGGAAGATTTGGGAGATAGTCATAAACACCTGCATTTCCTACTTTATGGGGCTGTTATAGAAAGCAACCAAGAACTTACATGAAAGGGCTTTGGGAACCCTAAACTGGAACCAAATGGAATATTTTATTATTATTATTTCACAAACCTTTTCATTTTTTCTAAGTTAAAAATTTAACTTGTTTCTTATCAGAGCAAGCCCTTCTATTGGCAGAGAAAGTCTGAGAGTAAATGGCAGGATCTTAACTACACTTTGTCCCTCACCAACCTTGAGCATTTATTAGTACTCTCAAACTTCCTGTGAAGATTAACCTTTTGTTTTCTTTTCTGGTAGTTTTCATCTCAGACCCTCAGATGCAAATGATATATTGTTTCTCTACTTCCTTTAGAGGAGAGCCTGTGACCACATGAAGATTTTCAGGTTGTTCTATAATCTGATACTGAGAATGATGCAAAGTTTGTTTCTGTGTGTCAATGTGTATTTTGGTTGTTGCTGTTTTCTCTTTTCTGCATTCTACTTTTATCTCTAAGGCATTTGATTTTCCAAAACTCATTTGGTTCCCTGTCATGCCGAAATCGTGTTTTGGAATGATAATTTCAGGCTTTGCAGAGCCGTGGTTTACCTGCACTCTACTCAGCAGTTGTTATGGGTTGAATTGTATCCCCCCAAAAAGATATGTTAATGTGCTAACACTCAGAACTTCAGAATGTGACTATTTGGAAGAGGAGTTGTTAGAGATATAATTAGTTAAGATAACTTTATAGTAGAGTAGGGTGGGCCCTTATTCCAATATGACAAATATTTTTATAACAAGAGGGACATTTGGATAAAGAGAGAAGATGACTATGTGAAGATGGAGGCAGAGATTGGAGTAATGTAGCTACATGCCCAGAAATGGCTGGGGCTACCAGAAGCTAGAAAAGCCAAGAAAGAACCCTTCCCTAGAGCTTTTATAGAAACCATGGCCATTCCAAAATCTCGATTTCAAACTTTTAGCCCTAGAACTGTGAGACAATAAATTTCTGTTGTTTTAAGTGACCATGTTTGTGGTACTTGTTACTGCAGCCCTAGGAAACTAATTCAGTAATCAAGAGGATTTTTTTGAATTTATACCATCATTTTCTTTCTTCCACCTCCTTTCCCTTGCAATCTTCTGTAGATTCCTGAAAGAAAAAGCACATTCAGATGCACTTCAACAAAGCAAATACCTCTGGCCTAAAAACTCTCACTGTCCATGCATCTTGCTAGTCCCTTAGTTTCTCACCACTGCCCTACAAATATCTCGTAAGCCTCCATGTCATCATTGATTCTGTTTCCAATACCAAGAGTGTTCTTCCTTTCTCTACTGAATCTTACGACCTGACTACTACTCATTTTTGAGAGATTAATTGTGGTACTCCCACTACTTCAGTGAGGCTGCTCTTGATTCCTCTAGTTTGAATTACTTTTTTCTGCTTCACCACAGATATTAGTTTGTACCACTGTTATGTTGCCGATTTTATTTTGTCTTTCATTATAATTAATTGCTTCTATGCTTGTCCTCCTGCATTCCAAAGGTTTGCACTTGATTGAAAGCTTTTTAATAGCAGAAAATGGTTCTAATTTTTCTCTTTCCTCCCCAGTATGAATTGTTCGGGCTCATCCACACCAGGTCCTACGCTAGTGTTTATTAAGTTAGTCAATGTCTCTGTTTCGCTCCATTGTTTATCAAATACATGATTTTTGTTTAAAATATTTCAAAACTTAACAAAACCAACCACATATGTTTGTTTTTTATCTTAAACTAAGCTTTTAAGCTTACTGTTATACATTAACCACCATTGGTGGGAGAGAAGGAGGGCCTCATAGAAATTTGACCAAGGTTCTTCAGCTTGTTTGCAAATGGTCACACATAAGAAATGGTCACATGTTAAGAAAGGGTTTTATCGGCCGGGCACGGTGGCTCACGTCTGTAATTTCAGCACTTTGGGAGGCCGAGGTGGGTGGATCACGAGGTTAAGGGATCAAGACCATCACAGCCAACCCCGTCTCTACTAAAAATACAAAAATTAGCTGGGAGAGGTGGTGCACACCTGTAGTCCCAGCTACTCAGGAGGCTGAGGCAGGAGAATTGCTTGAATCTGGGAGGCGGAGGTTGCAGTGAGCCAAGATCATGCTACTGCACTCCAGCCTGATGACACAGTGAGACTCCATTTAAAAAAAAAAAAAAAATAAGGTTTCTCGAAGACTATTTTAAAAATTTCCTCCTGGGTAAAAACTACCATGCAGTTAAGATTGGAGGATGATGATGGTGACAGGATATTGTGTATAGTATCAGTAATCTCATGACAAAAACATCTAGGAAAAACATTTCTAAGCCATTGAGAAGTTAAGGTGAAACTGAGAAAATGATTTTTGCTTTGAAAAAATTGCAAGCAAAAAAAAAAATCAAAGTGTTAGGAGGTCTGAGCTAATGGCATACAGCAATTGTCTAGGGCATGACTACTGGGAGATAATCTTTTAACTCCTCCATTCATGCTTACTCTGCTCTTGGTCATTCCTAAGTACAGCTGTGTATATGCCTACCTTATAGGATTTATCAGATAGAGAATTCACCTCCCCCAAACGTATATCTCCATTTACCCTCAAGGAGTGAAGCTTTTCTTCTTTTTTTCAGGGGTCATGATCTTTCCTTCCATAGAGAAGGATCAGGCCAAGATGCAGAGACAAGGGGCCTATGCTGTGAACTATTTCACAAGAAGGGGTCAGTTACTATAACAAGAGCTAGTGAAGGTGGGAGGGGGCAGTGGAATGATTATATTTAATAGAAACTGGAAAAGGGAAAAGGAGAAAAGAGGTTGATTATTAGGTAAAGGCTGAAGAAGACAATAATCAGAGATGTCTTGAGCACTCATTTCCCTTTGTTCTGAGGAAGATTAAGCAATGTACTAAGTGATTTTTCCCCACTGTGCCTGTTTTTGTCTTTGCAGAATGGAGGCAGTGTATGGGCCACTCCTCGAGGGAAACAAGCATGAGGCAGGTCAGGAAAAGAAGGAAACAGGCAGAACTTCCAAAGAGCAGGCAAAAGGAGTTTTTATACAGAGAAGATAATACAGGACCCACAGAGAAGGGAAATAAAAGTGAGAGGAGCAAAAGAGGATCTGATGCATTGATGGGGAGGGAGAAAAAGCAACTGCAGAATATAAAATTAGAAGCCATAGGAGAATATCAACTGGAGGTTATTGTTGTTAGTGAAATGACAGAAAGAGAAATTTAAAAACCACATATTCTCACTTATAAGTGGGAGCTAAATAATGAATACAAATGGGCATATAGAATGGAGTAATTGACATTGGAGACTCCAAAAGGTGGAAATGTGGGAGGGGAGTGAAGGATAAAAAACTACCTGTTGGAGGCAATGTATACTACTCTGTTGACTGGTGCACTAAAATCCTAGGCTTCATCACTACACAATATATCCATGTAATGAAGCTGCACTTGTACCCCTAAATCTATAAAATAAAAAAATTAAAACAAACAGACAAATAAAAAATAAACAGAGGAGAATATCATAGACCAAGAGGAGGAAAAGGAGGATAAAAGCAAGGAAAAAAGCTAAAAAGTAAGGAGGGATATTTTAAATGGTAAGCTTCTCTGTAAGAAAGAATGAATAGACAGGATTAGAAAGGCTGAACAATCATGACTAAAGAATATTAGTCACTTACAAGAAAATACAAGTGAAAGATGAGGAAATACCGAAGGGTGGGAAGACTCAGAAATATGTGAATATATAGAGTTCAATTAACAGAGGAGTGGGAGATAGAAGTCCTGGAGTTCTCCTAGCAGTGAATTTCAAGGAGTTGGCACTAATCTGCCTTTATCCTACATTTTCTTTGCTCCGTTGCTTAAAATATGTGGGATCATTGATTCGCTTGCAAATTTTTCATTGCACAGATATTTTTTATTTGTATTAGTTTTAGGTCTTGTCACCACAATATTAAAGAAATTTGCCTTAGATCCAAAATTCACGACCTTCTATTAAAAAATTCCTCAGTTAATAAATATAGAACTTTTCAATGCTGACAATATTATGAAGGATGCAGAGTAGCAGTATCAAATACAGCCTTTGTCCCAAAAGAGCATGTCTAGTGGCTAGAGCTCTAGCTCCTTGGCATATCAACTATGGGCTGTTTATGATATGCCAATATTTCTAATCTTACTTCCTGAATTGGCATATAGGCAGAATTTTGACAGGCAGAGATGGGGTAGGGTGAAGAAACATTTGAGTGGACAAACACAATGATCTAAAGGTAGGAAAATTGCAACCGATAAAGCAGATAGGTAGGTCATGACAAATTCATGGAAGGCACCAAATGTTAGGCTAAGGCATTACCAAATGAAACAATTTCTTGCTTCAGCCAGAGTTGACATCACCTTTGGGCAATGGCTCAGCATCTTGATTCCTATTGTCCAATAGAACTGAGGGCATAGGACATAAGGCTGAAAAGTTTGGGTAGGGGTAAGGTTTGAGTAGTGTTTATACTTAAGCTAATGCCTTGGGTAGAAGTATTGTAGAATGGATCCTGAGTTGCCCAAAGAAATGCTAATAACTATCATTTATTGATTTCTTACAGTGTGATGAGCCCGGGGCTAAGTATGTTATATGCTTTCATGTAGTTATATTATCTCTTGTAGTTTTCATTCTTACCTTATGTGGAAACAGAGACTCAGAGCATCTATGCCACTTGTCCAAGGTCACACAGATACAAAATGACAAAACCAGGCAGTCTGACACAACAGCTTGCATTCTTAATGAGTACATTGTGAGTGTCACAGAGCAGGTACTACTAAATAAGGGTCCCTCATGAATTCTTTCATTTGGATCTGGCAAGAAGAGGTAGGGACCTCAAATAAAACTGCTCAGCAATGGAATGCTACCGTGTAATAAAAAAGAATGAACCATTGATACACTCAACGACATGAATAACTCTCAAACTAATTATGCTGAATGAAAAAAGCTGGACAAAAATGAATACATTCTGTGTGATTCCATTGGCAGAAAACTAGAAAATGAAAACTAACCTGTAGTGACAAAAAACAGGTCAGTGGTTTTCCTTATTACAAAGGTCCATGAGGAAACTTTGGGAGGAAGATGAATATGTTCATTATCTTGGTTGTAGTGATAGTTTCGTGGGTGTGTACATATGTTTTGTAAGATTGTGCACTTTAAATATGGGCAGTTTATTGTAGGTTAGTTGTATTGATCTATGCATGTTATATTCCTCTATATACATATTATTTCCAGAAAAACATAATTTCCAGAAAAAACTGCTGAGCAACATAACACATAAACAGGCAATGGGCAAAGCTCTCAAGTGACTCTTCAATTAGTGACTATCTGACTCTTAGAGACATTTTGGGGACTAAGTTTCTTACTTGCTGCAATTATCAGCTCTGAAGAGAAAGATTGTGTTTTCACTGAGTTGTGAATACAGAAATCATATATTTGAAATCTTATGGCTATGACCCAGTGAATACAGTTCCTTTTTAAAAATTTTAATTTCATAAACTTTGGTCTGGTTACTAGACATAGGCTGCACAGTAAATCAAAACAAGAACATGTTCTGACTAGGTAGTTTTGTTATGGAGCTCTCAGTGCTGCTTCTGAAATTAAGATTCCATTCCATGTGAAAAGCAAGACTTTTGTTTTTCACACCTTCTAAACTGTTACTCCCATAATAGCTCTAGGCAATTTGGCTTAGGATATCAACATCAAGGGAGCTTGGATATGACTGTGGATTAAAATTGGAAATTCTTTTATACAACTATGAAGCCATAAAGAAGACTGATATTTGTCATGGGGAATGTAAGGTGTTGTCAGCATGGTAGATGAATAGGTCAAGATGGTCTGCTTCACACTAATATTTCCATAATATCTAATATTTCATCATTTGGAATATAGGCCCTGTGTTAAGCAGTATCTTGCTTTGTCCTCTTTTAAAAGGAAACTTGCCCTAAGAGCATTAAAACCCTAGCAGTTCAATTTGAATAAATATAATGTTCATTATTATTAGAAAATTGCTATTTTCACAGATTTCTCCCTATTATCCTAATTTTAGGCATTAATAGAGCCTTTACCTGTCTTAGATTGAATAGAGAAGCAATTCCCACCAACCCTTGTAGTATCTTTGTACTCTTTTCCTGGGATCCTTATCAGTCCTCCTTAATCCTCCAACTTCAGGCCACTTGCTTTCTTCCTGACTCCATGCTCTTCATTACTCAGCAACTGTCAGTCTCTGCTTTGGAGAACTCCACTGAGTTCTAGAGGATAGCTAATAATATATGGTTGATCTGACCTTGCTCTGAAAAAAAAAAATGCCAGAGCCCAACCAGAGGCCAATTTGAAAAACAAGATATTTTAGGGACACTTTCATGGCCTCCTTTTCAATGACTGGGCCAGCACCTCTGCTGTGCCTCATCTGGGACTGTGGTCCTGCCACCTCTGTTCCTGGCATCAGCTGCTATTTGTCCACAGTACTATGTGCCAAGTACTGAGCTAAACATTTTACATTCCTTCAATTTACTCTCACAATGAATCTTTGAGGCTTTATCTCTACTCTACAGATGAGGAAACTGAGGCTCAAAGGGTTTTAATAACTTGCCAAAAGTCATTTAATAAACAGCACACTGGGTATTCAATAAGTTTCTCTGGCTCCTCATTGGAACTTCTCCTTCCCTCTTCTAAATTCCCCCTTCAAAAATTACCTGCTCTGCACTATCTCATTCCTTCAAGACTTAGATTCTTCTGTTCAGGGACAGCCATGATTATTGTCCTTTCCTTTATACATGAAACAGCTCTATCCACATACACTTTACCCCCATGTCTGCTTTAGTTGAATCTCCAAAACAGCTGGGGATCATTCTGAAGTCTTGGCTTTCTGTTTAGCCTTAACTATACCTTTCACACACTTTCATTTAACATCCATTCAAAGTCTGACTGTATGTTTTCCAGTTCTTTAGTTCACATCAAGCCTCCAACCAAAGGAGAAAACATACAGGACTTCGAAAAAAGGGATGAAGAAATGGACATTTGCAAATTTGCAAAGTAACTGTTATGTGCTGAGGCTATGAGGAAAGCACTTTCACAAAGGCGATTTCATTTTATCCTCCTAACCCTTGAGTTAGGTCTTATTATTATAATAGTATGGCAAAACCGCAATTACTTTTGCAGCAACCAAATATTATCCAAATTTGAGGCTCAAGAAATAGGAAAAGTTCTGAGAGGTTAGGAATTTTCTGAAATAACTTGCCCAAGACCACAAGCTAAAGTACTGGAACCAGGATTCAAACTCTGCTCTGTCTGGCTCCAAAGCCTGGATTATTTTTTTACAATGGTTGATAAAATATTGTCTCTTTATAATTAATCAAACTTGATTAATTGAGATGCTTTGGTAAGGGGAGGGTTTTGCAACTAAGGGTGCAAGCAGAAAAGCTTTGTAGGTGACCTGTGCCTTCTCCCTAGCTGTCTTTAAAATTTTTATTTTATTTCACCTCTGCTGAATCTGATGACTAAACCGTGGGAATGATTTTCTTGTATAGTATCTCACAAAGGTTCTCTGCATTTTCTGAATTTGAATGTTTGTCCTGTTACCCCTCAAGATTCAGAACCTGTTGTGCTAGAGGGGCCAAAGCGTTCCTGAACTGCTGGCCATAGCCTTCCAATGAGTGATGCCTATGAAGACACCTCATCAGGAGGTGGGATGAAACAAGAAGTTTCCACCAATCTTCCCCCTTGCAAGAACACAAATTTAACAACTATGTACACCAGAAAAACACCTTTTTAAGAAACAAAAATTAAGTGAGTATTCACAGCACCTGGTTTTAACTTCACATTGCAAAAAGAGGTAGAAAAAACATTCTTAACTTGCTAATGCCACCCCTCTCTCATCCCTCAGCAGTGGCAGTGTGTGCCTTGAAGAGAGGAAGAGACAGCAATTGTGAGGCATTAAACTCAGTGCTGCCTTTGTTGCAACAGAAAGCAAAGTTGGACCACACTCAGCTGACATCTGCCTATGGAGGATGCATTTGAACCAGCCTTAGCCAGATAGGAATAGCTGATCTCAGTGGCTCAAACTTCATTTATTTCAAGCCTCGCCACTGTGACTACAGTTCTCTGGGTCCCCAAAGGAGCTTGAGAGGCAGTCTAGGCCACAAACACTGCAACACCAGGTGGGTCCTAGGGCTGAACTAGGCACACAGACAGTGGGCTGGGGAGGGTATGTGACCCACTGAGGGACCAACTGGAGTGGCTGAGGGAGTACTGTCATCATCCCTCCCTTAACTTCAGGCTGCACAGTCACAGTTCCAAAGGAGAAGCCTTTCTTCTCTTTGGGAAGAGGAGATTTGAGTAGGGATGACTTTGTCTTACATCTAGGTTACCAGTTCAGTCACAGCAAGACAGTGTAATGGTCAGAGTCATCAGACCCCCTTTCCAGACCCTAGTTCCTGGATATATCTAGACACATCCTGAGACAGAAGATAACCCACTGCCTTGAAGGAATGAACCTAGTCCTGGAAGAATTCATCACCTGCTAGCTGAAGAGCCTTTGGCCCCTGAATAGCCAGTAGCAATATCCAGATAATACACTGAGGGCCTTGGGTGGGACACTGAGACATGCTGGCCTCAGGTGAGATTCAGCACATTCCCAGCTGTGGTGGCTATGGGGTGAAACTCCTTCTGTGTGAGAAAAAGAGAGGGAAAAGTAAAGGGGACTTTGACTTCACTTTAGATAGCAGCTTAGCCACAGGGTGTAGAGCACTAAGCAGACTCTTGGGGTTGCCAATTCCAAGACTTGGCTCTTGAATGGCATTTCTGGACTTGCCCAGGGAGAGAGGGTTGCCCACTGCACTTAAGGGTGAATCCCTGACTAGGTGGCATTCACCACAAGCTGTTTGAAGAGCCCTTTGGCCTTAAGAAAATATCAACAGTAGGCTGGGCACGGTGGCTAACTCCTGTAATCCTAGCAGTTTGGGAGGCCGAGGTGGGCAGATCACTTGAGGTCAGGAATCTGAAACCAGCTTGGCCGTCATGGTGAAATCCCATCTCTACTAAAAGTACAAAAAATTAGCTGGGCATGGTGGTGCGTGCCTGTAATCCCAGCTACTTGGAAGGCTGAGGCAGGAGAATCGCTTGAACCCAGGAGGCGGAGGTTGCAGTGAGCCAAGATCGTGCCACTGCACTCCAGCCTAGGCAACAAAGTGAGACTATCTCAAAAAAACAAAAAACAAAAAACAACACTAGTCTGGCAGTACTATCCATCGGCCTGAAGTAGTGGTGGCTATGGGATAAGGGTCCTTTGCATTTAGTAAGTGGAAAGAAGAGTGGGAAGGACTGCATCTTGTGGTATGAGTGCCAGCTCAGCTGCAGTACAATAGAACACCAGGTGAACTTCCAAGGTTTTTGACTCTAGTCCTTGGATCCCAGATGGTACCTCTGAAACCCCATGGGACATGGGGCAAGTCTCCATCCTGACAGGAAGGACACAAGCCTGGCTGTCTTTGCCACTTGCTGATTGTAGAGACCAAGGGCTTTGAGCAAACATATGCAGTAGCCAGGAAGTAGTTACAGCAGGCCTTGGGCAACACCCAGTGCTGTGCTACCTTCAGGTGTGACCCAGCACAGTCATAGTGGTGGTGGCCACAGGGGTGTTTGTGTCACTCCATCCCCAGCCTTAGGTGGTTTACAAAAGGAAGATAGGCTCCATTTGTTTTGGAGAAAGTAAGGGAAGAGAACGAGAGTCTCTGCCTGCTAATCTGGAGAATTCTTTTGGATATTTTCCAAGACCATCAAGGCAGTACCTCTACAAGTCTTCAAGAAACAAAATGCTACTAGGTTTGAGGTACCTCCAAAATCAGAATCGGCTTAGATCACAACACCCAAGTCCTCTTGAATATTTGGAACATCTTCCCAAGAAGAATGGGTACAAACAAGCCCAGACTGTGAAGACTACAATAAATACCTAACTATTCAACACCCAGGCACAATTGAACATCTGAAAGTATGAAGATAATCCAGGAAAACATGACCTCACCAAATGAACTAACTATAAACTAACTATGAACAATCCAGGAGCAGCGGAGATATGTGAACTTTCAGGCAGATAATTCAAAATAGCTATTTTAAGGAAACCCAAAGAAATTCAAGATAATGCATAGAAGGAAGTCAGAATTCTATTAGAGAAATTTGTCAAAGAGATTCAAATATTAAAAAGAATCATGCAGAAATTCTGGAGTTGAAACTGCAGTTGGCAGAAGTCTTTTAATAGCTGAATTCATCTAGTAGAAGAAAGAAGTAGTGAGCATGAAAACAGGCTATTTGAAAATACACAGTAAGAGGAGACCAAAGAAAAAAGAACAACAACAAAAACCAATGAAGCACGACTAGAGTATATAAATAATAGCCACAAAAGTGCAAATCTAGGAGTTATTGGCTTTAAAGAGGAGGTACCAAAAACCACAGGGTTAGAAATTTTATTCAAAGGGATAATAACTGAGAACTTCCCATACCCAAAGATAGCAGTATTTGAGTACAAGAAGGCCATAGAACACCAAGCAGATTTAACATAAAGAAGACTACCTCAAATGATTTAATAATCAAACTCCCAAAGATCCAGGATAAAGAAAAGATCCTAAAAGCAGCAAGAGAAAAGAAAAAAATAACACATAAGTGAGCTCCAATATACCTGGCAGCAAACTGCTCAGTGGAAATGTTACATGCCAAAAGAGAGTGGCATGACATATTTAAAGTGCTAAAGGGATAAAAAAAATTAGAATAGTATACCTGGGGAAAATATCCTTCAAACATGAGGGAGAAATAAAAATTTTCCCAGACAAACAATAGCTGAGGGATTTTATCACTAGACCTGTCCTATAAGAAATCATAAAGGGACTACTTCAATCAGAAAGAAAGGGGTGTTAATGAGCAATAAGAAATCATCTGAAGATACAAACCTCACAGGTATTAGTAAGGACACATAAAACCACAGAATACTATCGTACTGTAATTGTAGTATGTAATCTACTCTTAAGTAGAAAGGCTAAATGATGAAGCAATAAAAAATAATAACTACAACTTTTCAAGACATACATAGTACAATGAGATATAAATAGTAACAACAAAAAGTTAAAAAGTGGAAGGATGAAGTTAAATCATACAGTCTTTACTAGTTTTCTTTTTGCTTGTTTGCTCGTGCAAATAGTATTAAGTTGTTATTAGTTTAAAATAATGGGTAATAAGATAGTATCTGCAAGCATCACTGTAACCTCAAACGAAAAAATACAATAGATCCAAAAAAATTAAAAAGCAAGAAATTAAATAATATCAACAGAGAAAATTACCTTCACTAAAATAAAGACAGGAAGGAAAGAAAGAAAGAGAAGATCAGCAAATGACCAGAAAACAAATAAAAAATGATCTAAGTAAGTCTTTACTTATCAATATAATATTGAATGTAAATGGACTTAACTCTCCACTCAAAAGACATAGGATGGCTGAATGCATTGAAAAAAAAAAAAACCCAATGATCTATACCCTATGTGAAACACATTTCACCTATAAAGACACACAGGGGCTGAAAATAAAGGGATGGAAAAACATATTCCATGCCAAGTGAACCCCACAAAGAGCAGGCATCACTATACTTATATCAGACAAAATAGATTTCAAGACAAAACTTATAAGAAAAGACAAAGAAGGTCACGATATAATGATAAAGGGGTCAATTCAGCAAGAGGATATAACAATTTTAAATTGTTATTTTAAATATTTTAAGTATATGTGCACTGAACACTCAACCACCAAGATATATAAAGAAAATGTTGTTATAGCTAAAGAGAGAGATAGGCTCCAATACAATAATAGCTGGAGACTTTGCCATCCCACTTTCAGCATTGGACAAATCTCCAGACAGAAAATAAACAAATAAACATTAGCCACAATCTGCACTGTAGAACAAATGAATCTAATATATAATTACAGTACATTTGATTCAATAGCTGCAGAGGACATGTTCTTTTCTCAGCACATGGATCATTCTCATAAATAGACCATATGTTAAGTCACAAAACTAGATATAAAAAATTTTCAAATTGGAATAATATCAAGCATCCTCTCTGACCACAATGAAATAAAACTAAAAATCAATAACAAGAGAAATTTTGGAAACTATAAAAATACATGAAAATTAAACAACATGCTCCTGAATGACCAGTAGATCAATGAAGAAATTAGAAAGGGAATTTAAAAATGTCTTGAAACAAATAATAAAGGAAATACACATAACAAAAACTATAAAATACAAGTAAAGTAGTACTAACAGGGAAGTTTATAGCTGTAAGTGCCTACTTCAAAAAAAGAAGAAAAACTGCAAATAAACAACCTAACAATGCATGTTAAAGCAGTAAAAAAGTGAGGGCAAACCAAACTCAAAATTAGTCGAAGAAAAGAAATAATAAAGATCAGAGCAGAAATAAATGAAATTGAAATAAAAAATACAAAAGATCAATAAAACAAAAAGTTGCTGTTTTTGAAAATTTAAACAAAAGTGACAAATTTTTAGCCATACTAAGGAAAGAAGAGAGAAGACCCAAATAAATATAAGTAAAAAAAGGGAGACATTACAACTGTTACTGCAGAAATTTAAAGTATCATTTGTGGCTAATATGAGCAACTATGTGCCAATAAATTGGAAAATCTAGAAAAAAATGGACATATTCCTAGACACATAAAACCTACCAAGATTGGACAAGGAAGAAATCAAACAGCAGAACAGACCAATAACACGTAATGAGATAAAGTTCATAACACAACATCTCCTAATAAGGAAAAGCCTGGGACCTGATAGCTTCACTGCTGAATTCAACAAAGCATTTAAAGGAGGCCAATCCTCCTCAAACCGTTCTGAAAACTATAGGAGGAGGGAATGCTTTCAAACGCATTCTTTAAGGCCATTATTACCCTGATACCAAAACCAGACAAAGACACATCCAAAAAGTAAACTACAGGCCAATACCCCTGATGATTATTGATTCAAAACTCCTCAATAAAATATTAACAAACTGAATTCAACAATACATTAAAAAGTTCATTCATCATGACCAAGTGGAATTTATCCCTGGAATGCAAAGATGGTAGAACATACACAAATCAAAGTGGTACATTATATCAACAGAATGAAAGACAAAAATAATATGATCATTTTAAATGATGATGAAAAAGCATTTGATTAAATTCAACATCCCTTCATAATAAAAGCCTTAAAAATCTAGTATAGAAGGAACATAACATAATAAAATTTGTGTATGAAAAACCTGCAGCTAGTATCCTGCTGAATGGGGAAAACCTGAAAGCCTTTCCCCTAAGATCTGAAATACAGCAAGAATGCCCACTTTCACCACTGTTATTCAAAATAGTACTGGAAGTGCTAGCTACAGAAATTATACGAGACAAAGAAATGAGTGAGATCCAAACTGGAAAAGAAGAAGTCAAATTATTTTTGTTTTCAGATGATGTGATCTTATATTTAGTGAAACTTAAAGACTCCAACAGAAAACTAGTAGAACTGATAAACAAACTCAGTAAAGTTGAAGGATACAAAATCAACATACAAAAATTAGCACCATTTTGATATGCCAACACTGAACAATCTGAAAAATAAATGAAAAAGTAGTCTAATATACAATAGCCACAAATAAAATTAAATAACTAGGAACTAACTTAACCAAAGTGAAAGATCTCTATAATAAAAACTATAAAATACTGATGAAAGTAATTGAAGAGGACTCTAAAAAATGGAGAAATATTTCATGTTTATGGGTTGAAAGAATCCATATTTTAAAAATGCCCATACATCCCAAAGCAATCTACAGATTCACTGCAATTCCTTTCAAATAGCTAAACCTTTCTTTTTAAAAGAACACATGGGAGAGGGAAAAAAAATGGCAGATAGGAGGCAGGACAGACTTGCAGCTCCCACATGGATGTTTGTTTCTTAATGCATGTGGAGACTCACACTGTAAACTTTTGCTTCAAGAACTGTTGCAAGAACATACCAGGAAAGCCAAAATAATTCACAGACTCTTGGAAAGAAGTGGCTTGCTGCAGCAAACTCCATGAGAAAGCTGAAAAACTGTGAGTGCCCAAAGTGTGAGAGGGGAAATTCTGCCTCTGAATACAAATCCTCACTGGGAACCTGAAAATCCAGATCCAAGCAAAATATAAAAGTAGACAAAGCAGTGGGAAGAACCCTGTAGGCACTCCCTGTCCCCTGGGAAACCCTGGGAAGCCATTTTTGCCTTATCTAACAAGGGCTTTGGGGAGGACTGCCAGTGAAATTTAGAAAGGACCACAGGGAGAAGGAAACTTCCAGCTGAACTTTGTAATGATTTTGACCAAGCATGAAATTTTCTGGGCAGAATGGGAGAGGGGTGGTGGTGATGGTGAACAGGAAGTGCAGATGTATGCACAGAAGCCATGGCAGGTGTGGAGGAGCCAGACCTGAAAGGCATGCTTGCTTTCTCAGCAGGGAGACTTGAAGCCTGGGGCAAGATCTCAGCACTGCTCACTGGCTGCCTGGATATAAACTTCGTGCTCTTAGTGGGGCACAGTGTGAGTGAGACTGGACTTGCTGGCTGCATGTCAACTGGGTGAGGCTGGTCACTGCTAGCTTTCCCCCACCTCCTTGGTGACCTGTATGAGGCAGCAGAAGCAGCCATAACCCCCTTGGGAACCTAACTTCATTGACTTGAGAACTATACCCTTATAGCCCGCAGTGACCACCACAAGCCGTGCCCAAGGAGAGTCTGAGCTCAGACAGGCCTAACCCCATTCCCACCTGATGGTCTTTCTCTACCCATTCTAGTAGCTGAAGACAAAAAACATAATCTCTTGGGAGATCTATAGCCCTGCCCATCACCTGAGAAACTCAAATACTTATCCAGGAGAACTTAGGGCAAGCTTGTATTCCCCCTATACTACAGCAGCTGATGCTCTCTTGAAAGTGCCACCTCCTGACTTGAGGCCAGCCAACTCAAGCCATTACAGCAACTCATAAAATAACAACCTTGCTCCAAGAAAGGAAAAACAACAACAACAGCTAATTCCACTTCCTGTAACATCCTGGCTAACCCCGAGATCTTGAGTCTGTCCACGTGACATCTTCACTGCTAGCACAACCAGCATTTGAGAAAACCAGCACACTAAACAAAACTACAACCAAGGACCCTCAAAGAGTTTACTTCGTTCCCCTGCTACCTCCCACCGGAGCAGGTGCTGGTATTCATGGCTGAGAGACCTGAAGACAGATCACATCAGAGGACTCTTTGCAGAGACTCCCCAGTACCAGCCCCTAGCCTGATAGTTCTGCTGGGTGGCTAGACTCAGAAGAGCAATAACAATCACTGCAGTCTGGCTCTCAGGAAGCCCCATACCTAGAAGAAGGGGAAGAGCTTCACATCAAGGGATCACCCCACGGGAGAAAAGAATCTGAACCGCAGCCCTTGAGTTCCAGATCTTTCCTCTGACATAGTCTACCCAAATGAAAAGGGACAAGAAAATATTCTGGTAATATGAAAAAGCTATGTTCTTTAACACTCCCAAAAGATCACACTAGCTCACCAGCAATGGATCCAAACCAAGACAAAATCTGTGAATGCCAGAAATAATTCAGAAGGTCAATTATTAAGCTACTCAAGGAGGTATCAGAGAAAGGTGGAAACCAACTTAAATAAACTTAAAAAAGATACAGGATATTGACAACAAATATATAGATAAATTTATTTTTATTGTAAATCAAAACAATCACAACTTCTGAAAATGAAAGACACACTTAAAGAAATACCAAATACACTGGAAAGTTTCAACAATATAATCAAACAAGTAGAAGAGAGAACTTCAGAGCTCAAAGACAAAGCTTTCAAATTAACCCAGTTCGGCAAAGCCAAAGAAAAACAAATCACAAAAATGAACAAAGCCTCCAAGAAGTTTGGGATTTGTTAAATGACATAAAATAAGAATAATTAGTGTTCCTGAGAAAGAAGAGAAATCTAAAAGTTCCAAAAATCTATTTGAGGGAATAATCCAGGAAAACTTCCTTGGCTTTGCTAGAGATCTAGACATTCAAATACAAGAAGCTCAAAGAACATGCGGAAAATTCATGGCAAAATGATCATCACCTAGGCATACAGTCATTAGGTTATCTAAAGTCAAAATAAAGGGAAGAATTTTGAGATCTGTGAGGCAAAAGCTTCAGGTAACCTACAAATGAAAACCTATCAGATTAACAATAGATTTGTCAGCAGAAACTCTACAAGCTAGAAGGGATTGGGGTTCTATCTTCAGCCTCCTTAAACAAAACAATTATCAGCCAAGAATGAAGGAAAGATAATGACTTTTTCAGACAAATGCCCAGAGAATTTGCCACTACCAAACCGGCACTACAAGAACTGCTAAAAGCAGCTCTAAATCTTGAAACAAATCTTCGAAATACACCAAAATAGAACCTCTTTAAAGCATAAATCTCACAGGACCTATAAAACAACAACACAATGAATAATAAACCAAGGAATTCAGGCAACAACTAGCACAATGGATAGAATAGCACCTCACATCTCAATAGTAACTTGAATGTAAATGGCCTAAATGTTCCACTTAAAAGATACAGAATGGCAGAATGGATAAGAATTTAACAATCAAGTATCTGCAGTCTTCAAGAGACTCACCTAACACATAAGGACTCACATAAACTTAAGATAAAAGGGTGGAAAAAGATATTCCAAGCAAATGGTCACCATAAGCAAGCAGGAGTAGCTATTCTTATATCAGAAAAAAACAAACTTTAAAGCAACAGCAGTTAAAAGAGACAAAGAGGGATATTATATGATGATAAAAGGACTAGTGGAACAGGAAAATATCACCATCCTAACTATATATGCATTTAATACTGGAGGTCCCAAATATAAAAACAATTATTACTAGACCTAAGAAATGAGATAGACGGCAACACGATAATAGTGGGGGACTTCAATACTCCACTGACAGCACTAGACAGGTCATCAAGAGAAAGTCAACAAAGAAACGATGGACTTAAGCTATACCCAAGAACATATGAACTTAGCAAGTATTTACAAAACATTCTACCCAATAGCTGCAGAATATACATTCTATTCCTCAGCACATGGAACATTCTCCAAGATAGACCATATGATAGGTCACAAAACAAGTCTCAATACATTTAAGAAAATCTAAATTATATCAAGTACTCCCTCAGACTATAGTGGAACAAAATTAAAAATCAACTTCAAAACAAACCCTTAAAAACGTGCAAATACATGGAAATTAAATAACCTACTTCTGAATGATCATTGGATCAACAGTGAAATCAAGATGGAAATTAAAAAGTTCTTTGAACTGGACTATAATAGTGACACAACCTATCATATCCTCTGGGATACAGCAAAGGCAGTGCTAAGAAGGAAGTTCACAGCGTTAAATGCCTGCATCAAAAAGTCTGAAAGAGCACAAATAGACAATCTAAGGTCACACCTCAAGGAACTAGAGAAACAAGAACAAGCCAAACCCTAACCCGGCAAAAGAAAAGTAATAATCAACATGAGAGCAGAACTAAATGAAATTGAACCAAAAAATACAAAGAATAAATGAAACTAAAAACTGGTTCTTTGAAAAGATAAACAAAATTGATAGACCATTAATGAAATTAATGAAGAAAAGAAGACAGAAGATGTCAATAAGCTCAACTAGAAACAAAATGGGAGATATTACAACTGATACCACAGAAATACAAAAGATCATTCAAGGCTACTAAGAACATACCTTTATGCACACAAACTAGAAAACCTAGAGGAGATGGATAAATTTCTGGAAATATACAACCCTCCTAGATTAAACCAGGAAGAAATAGAAACTCTGAACAGAGAAATCAGTGAGATTGAAATGGCAATTTAAAAATTCCCCACAAAATTTCCAGGGCAAGATGGATTCACAGTAAAATTCTATCAGACATTCAAAGAAGAATTGGTACCAATCCTATTGACACTATTTCACAAGATAGAGAGAGGGAATTTCCCTAAATCATTCTATGAAGCCAGTATCACCCTAATACCAATACCAGGAAAGGACATAACAAATAAAGAAAACGACAGACCAATATCCCTGATGAACATAGATGCAAAAATCCTCAACAAAATACTGGGTAACTGAGTCCAACAGCATATCAAAAAGATAATCCAACATGATCAAGTGGGTTTCATACCAGGGATAGAGTGATGGTTTAACATACACAAGTCAATAAATGTTGTACACCACATAAACAGAATTAGAAACAAAAATCACATGATCATCTCAATAGATGCAGAAGAAGTATTTGACAAAACCCAGCATCCCTTTATGATTAAAAGCCTCAGCAAAATTGGCATAGAAAGGACATACCTAAGATAATAAAAGCCATCTATGGCAAACCCACAGTCAACATTATATTATATGGAGAAAAGTTGAAAGCATTCCCTGAGAACTGGAAGAAGATAAGACTGCCCTCTTTCAGTACTTCTGTCCAACATAGTACTGGAAGTCCTAGCCAGAGCAATTGGACAAGAGGAAGAAATAAAGGGCATCCACATCAGTAAAGAGGAAGTCAAGCTGTTGTTGTTCACTGGTTATATGATTATATATCCAAAAAATCCTGAAGACTCATCCAAAAAGCTCCTAGAACTCATAAATGAATTCAGCAAAGTTTCAGGATACAAAATCAATGTACACAAATCAATAGCTCTGCTATACACCAACAGCGACCAAGCTGAGAATGAAATAAGTACTCAACCCCTTTTACAATATCTGCAAATGAAATGAAATGAAATGAAATGAAATAAAAATAAAATATAATACTTAGAAATATACCTGACCAAGGATGCAAAAGACCTCTGCAAGGAAAACTACAAAGCACTGCTGAAAGAAATCATAGACGACACAAACAAATGGAAACACATTCCATGCTCATGGAGTGGTAGAATCAATATTGTGAATATTACCATAATGCCAAAAGCTATCTAAAAATTCAATGCAATTCCCACCAAAGTATCATCATCATTCTTCACAGAAATAGAGAAAACAATTCTAAAATTCATACAGAACTAAAAAAGAGTCCACACAGCCAAAGCAAGACTAAGCAAAAAGAATAATCTGGAAGTATCATTTTACTCAACTTCAAACTATACTATAAGAACGTAGTCACCAAAACATCATAACACTGGTATGAAAATAGGCACATAGACCAATGAAACGGAATAGAGAAACCGTAAGCAAAGCCAAATACAGCCAACTGATCTTTGACAAAGCAAACAAAAACATTAGGTGGGGAAAGGACACCATATTCAACAAATGGTGCTGGGATAATTGGCAAGCCACATGTAGAAGGATGAAACTGTATCCTCATCCCTCACCCTATATAAAAATCAACTCAAGATGAACCAAAGACTTAAATCTAAGACGTGAAGCCATAAAAATTCTAGAAGATAACATCGGCAAAACCCTTCTAGACAATGGCTTATCCAAAGACTTCAGGACCAAGAACCCAAAAACAAATGCAACAAAAACAAAGATAAATAGATGAGACCTAATTAAACTAAAAAGCTTCTGCACAGCAAAAGAAATAATCAACATAGTAAACAGACAACCCACAGAATGGAAGAAAATCTTTGCAAACTATGCACCCAACGAAGGACCAATATAAAGAATCTACAAGGAACTCAAGTAAATCAGCAGGAAAAAACAAATAATCCCATCAAAAAGTGGGCTAAGGACATGAATAGACAATTCTCAAAAGAAGATACACAAATGGCCAACAAACATATGAAAAAATGCTCAACATCACTAATGATCAGACAAATGCAAATCAAAACCACAATGCAATACCACCTTACTCCTGCAAGTATGGCAATAATCAAAAAATCAAAAAATAATAGATGTTGGTGTGGATGTGGTGAAAATGGAACACTTCTACACTGCTGGTGGGGATGTAAACTAGTACAACCACTATGGAAGACAGTATGGAGATTCCTTAAAGAGCTAAAAGTTGATCTACCATTTGATTCAGCAATCCCACTACTGGGTATCTACCCAGAGGAATAAAAAGTCATTATATGAAAAAGATACTTGCTCCTGCAAGTTTATAGCACCACAATTTACAATTGCAAAAATGTGGAGCCAGTCTAAACTCCCATCATTCAACAAGTGGATAAAGAAAATATAGTGTATATATATATATAGCATGAATACGCCTCAGCCATAAAAAGAATGAAATAATGACATTTGCAGCAACCTGGGTGGAGTTGGAGACCATTTTTCTAAGTGAAGTAACTCATAAATCAAAAACCAGACATCGTATGTTCTCACTTATAAGTGGGAGCTAAGCTGTGTGGATGCAAAGGCATAAGGAAGGCATATTTTTAAGTTACAAGAGATTAGAGAGTGACTCAGTCTTCCAATGTAAAAAATTCTGTAAAACTTTTGCTACTTGAGTTATGCCAATATGGACAGAGAATGTGGCACATTTCTAAACTCTACTTCTCTGATCTTCTTCTGTTACCCAACTCCAGTCAGTCAGTGCCCACTAATTTCTGGATTTTTTTAAAAGGGGGCTGCCTTTGTGTATAGTAACAGTAGAAAAATAGGGCAGACCCTATATGGAGTTTGGAGGGATATCCGATAAACTATTTCATGTTAGTTTTGTAGGATGAGCTGGTGAAATTTGGACTACAAGAAAGTGCAGATATGGGGAGGAATTCATGACTAATTAAATGGTTGGATTCAAAGAGTTGATTTTAATGGATGTATTGTAGCAGGACGAGCCACAGACAAAACCTCCCAGACACCGAGTTGTAGAAGGAAGGGCTTTATTCAGCTGGGAGCATCGGCAAGTTACTGCCTTGAAATCCGAGCTCCCTGAGTGCACAATTTCTGTCCTCTTTAAGGGCTCACAACACTAAAGATTTTACATGAAAGGGTCGTGATTGATTTGAGCAAGCAAGGAGTACGTGACAGGGGCTGCATGCACCAGTGGTCAGAGAGAAACAGAACAGGGCAGGGCATTCTTTTATACAATGTCTGGAATCTATGAATAACATCGGTTTCTAAGTGACTGTTAGATAATATATTTACTGACAGAAGCCATGTGTTATTTCACCAAATGGGAATTAATCTCCTAAATTAGAGAGTTGTGTAGTTAGAGTTAACATAAGGCATTAGATGTTTTCTTTTGGATTTCTGGCAGGGAATTACTCATTGCTTAATAATTTGGGGGGAAAAATTTGCAGTGCCAGATAATGACATTTTCTCTTTAACAACAGCAAAATCCTTGTCATCAGTGTTTCTATTTCTTTAATTCCTCAAGGTGACAGCTTAGCTCATGTCTAAGGCACTGTGCTGAGAGCTCTGAAAAAGCAAAACTCTTCCCTCTAGGACCTTCAAGCATTTACACAAATTACTTCCATGGTACATGGTGATCTATGAAAAGGGCCAAATGAGAGGCACTGAATATACAACAGGAACCCTGGGAAGGGAGAGAGGGAGGGACGATTATGTTCTGGGAAGGCCTTTTGAAGGAGGTGAGAACTTAATCTTAATTGCAGTTAAACTGCTAAAGACTTTTGCTATATCCTTTCTTTTTGGGGAAATTTAGGGCCTTGTGGAAACTTGTAAACATGGAACTTTGTAATCCCTATACGAGATAAACAAGGAAATTGAGAAAGGAAAAGTCACAGTCTGGAAATATTTTGCAGGCCTGTCTATGAGGCCTAATGCAAAGGTTAATTCAAGAGCATTCTTTTCTTTTCTTTTCAGTTTGTTACCTTTCCATAGAAATGAGAGCCCCCTGCTGTTCTCTGCCATCAGCTGCTTTGTTCTGCTAATCAGGGAATGAAGCTGAGAATGCCCCTTGGCTCTGGGAGAGGGAGAAAAGAACAGGTGCCAGAGCTCATGTATTGAAATAGATCAAGGGTCTGTTCATCACTCAATCATTCTCCAGTGTAAGATACTCAAGAACAAACAAGTCCACTGTGAGTCAGAATCTGCCAACAGTCTTTTTCCTAGTAGTTTGAGGATACTAAGTAGTTTGGCTAAGTATGAGTTGCTGTACCCTAGGTATTATACTGTTAGGGAAATTCCCCACTGTCTGCCAAACATTTCAACTCAGCAAAAATTAGATCTGAAAAATGTTGATGAGCCATAATAAGTTGTACATAGTGCCTTTTAAGAAATGAACTACTAAATATATTCTAAGCAAAGAAGCAGTTCTGGAAGAATAATGGCTGAACTTCAAATTTTAGGGTTCTCACCTGCTTGTTGCCTCAGGCCTAGCCCCTTTTCCTCAACTCATTGCAAATTCATACTTAATCTTCTCTTCTGCCCTAGTGAAAATATATTTTAACCGGGAGTCCATAAATGTGGGTGCTAGGTCTGGCTTTATCACTAGTTGTCAGTTTTCCCATCTGAAAAGTGAATGCCTAGCTCACAGTGTGCAGTTGTTGTGGATGTTGGATTTTTTGAGAAAGCTGCATGTGAAGGTTAATGGGCTGCACAGATACAAGGTAGTTATATTATTACTTAAACTCCATTGTGGAGACTAGGAACATTTGGAAATTGCCTTTACTTGAATGTTCAGTCTGAATAAAATTTGCCTCTGGATTAAAAGTCCTCAGCCTCAGGGAAAGACCTACTCTAGTTTAGTGTCTGTTTTTGTGTGTTCTCTCCCTGTTCCAGTCCCTCTCCTTCTCCCTCTCTGTCTCCCTCTTCTTCCTTCTGTCCTTCCCTTCCATCCTGCCCACTTCTCTCTCTCATACGCGGGCATGCAGGCATGAACACATGTATGTGCTCGCACATGCGTGTGCACACACACACAGTAAAAAAAGGACAATTTAAAAAGGGCATGCCTTTTGTCACAGATGCTTACAGAAACACATAGAACTTTCAAATTTTATGGTATAATAGCCTTAAAACTTTTACTCTACCTTGAAGTTCAACTTTAATTGATTTTAATTATCTATATACAATTACTTACTTAGATTCTGTCTTCTTTTACAAAGAATTTGAGACATTCAGGCTTAACTTGTTCAAAACTTTAGGTGGTATTCAAACCAATGAAGACTGCTTGCCTCAAATCTTCAAAGGGAAATAAGAAGTTGCTGAGTTATGCAGCAAAATACAAGTGTTATCTTTTTCAGATTACACAAAAAGTTATTAAAAGCGGTAATTCAGATATTTCCTGTGAAATCTGCTGTGAACAAATTCATTACAGACCCATGTAGATTGTAGGGCTTACTCATGGTTTACTAGCTAAAAGTGTCATGGGGAAGAAAAGATATAAACAGAATTTTGCCCTGGTGCCATTCACCTGTAGACCATTCAGTTACACCACTGAGGGAGAGTCTTAGGTTGGAGTCTTCACCATCATGTAAGGATAACAGATATTTTTTGAAAATTTCTAATTAGAAGCATTGAGCACTTCTGTAACTAATTTCTATAACCATATGTATAGGACTAGATGGGAAGAAAAAATATAACCAAATTTACAACAGATGGGAACATAACTTTTGCCTTAAATTGTTGCACCCCAATGTACTAATTGAACATTTAATCTTGCTATTGCTTATTGACAGATTTGTGTGTGCGCATATGTGCATGTTTGTATTCTTTCTGACTGGACCCTAAACTGATTGAAAGCAGGATTCCATATCTTACTTTGTATCATTATCTTTATCCTTCATATCGTTATCTTTTTGTGCTGTAATTAATGTTTGCCAGAGGCTGCATTGTCCTATTTGGAAAATCTAAATTGTATAAGCAACCCTACCATCTCTGGTGTTACAGTTTCCATTTTCAATTTGAATAGTCTGGCTTAAAAAATATATTAACTTGGCCTTCACATAAGACAGTAAATAAGCATTTCCTTTTTTGTGTGTAAGGATGCACACAATTCAGCTTAACGACTGTAAACAGCATAAATGCACAATCTTTAATTCGGCTGATCACGTTTCACTTTGCTTTTTTATAAAAAAAGATTATTTGTATCTCTCTTTTTAACAGTTTTATTGAGGTGTAATTGTTGCACAAAAATTTGAATGTATTTTATGTGTACAATTTGATGGGTTTAAACACATGCATACACCCATGTATCCATTACCACACGCAAGATAATAAACATATTAAGGTTGTTCTTGATAAAAGTTAAAGATACTCATTTTTACTTTGGTGCGGTTGGGAGTTGCTGGATTCCACGTCATTCTGAGGTGACATGTGACTCATTTGCACGCATTCACTCATGCAGGTGTTTTTGAAGTGGTATTTCTAGCCCAGATAAGGGAAGATGACTGTCTACAGAATTCTGAACAGCAGTTGTCTTACTCAGTTTCCTGTTTCACCCAGTTCCTTCTGAGTACTGTTAATAAAGGAATCCCCTTTCTGTTGTGCAAAGACATAAAATGTCATGACTTGACCAAGATTATCATTGTTGACTTTTTGTGCTAGGGACAAATTTCCAGTTTTTTTTTTTTTTGATGGAAACAAGGAATCTATCCTTGCCTCAAACAAGAACAAGAGCTATGTACTCACAGAAACTAAAAATCAAAAGAATTATCAAGGGAAGATACAGGGTAAAAGGATTATCAGTAGGGTCAATGGAAAGTATTAATATTTCAGACATGACCTGCTCATAGTTGTCTTTTGTGATCCGAGTCTTTTTGAAAATGATAATCACTAAGGGATATTTTTCTTCTTGGGCATTTGTTTTTCCTTTATCTTTATTTTTAACCTTCCTGTCTTTCACTATTTTATATTGCATCCAGTGTCCTCATCTTTATTTCGCTTGTAAACTCCTTGAAGGCAGAATGTGAGAGGTGGCCCAAGATACTTCTATGACTTCTCAAACTGGTCAGAGTTGCTGAAATTAGTAGCATTAATTTTATAGGCTATGTATTAGGGCATTACCTCTCTAGAAGGCTATACTAAAATGCAGATTTAATTAGAGAAGAGAACCCATGAGCAGATTACCATAAATTAGGTAATTAGATTAGCTGTCTGCCTGCCCATGCCTTCACTAGAGATGTTTGGATGCCATGAATGAAATTCCAGTGTCTAGATATTACTCAAGAAAACACAGGGATGCTCATTGTCTAATGAGAGTATGGGTAAACATTTTAATGGTTTTCAATGTGACATAATCAACACTCATTAACAGAGGTGGAAATGGGGATATTGTGTAAAACACACTTATTCAATGGTATTATGATTTTGACTCATCAGTTGACTATTTCCATTGCTTTCCTGTAAGTTTGGTGAAAGCCTGCCATGTTTGTCTTGTACACTATTCTATCCTCAGTGTCTACAACAGAGTAAGCCCTTATGAAATGTTAAATGAATGAGTTTAAGTGATTGAACACAAAATGAAAAGTATATATCATTCAAAATTGGCAGCTTTTGAAGGAGTAATACTTTGGACATGGAATAGGAATAGGGATTTTATGGTGTTTACTAAAAATATGGAAACTTGGTGATGGAAAACCTCCACTGAAGTTATTAAAATTATCTTTCTTTATATTTTCTCTGCAGTTTCAGTGGCTGATGGTCACTGGAATGATGTAACTGCTCAGTGCTTTTCCTGCTTTGTATATTTCCAGAAACTCTTCTCTAAAATACTTCAGATGGTGTGCTAACTCCTCAGAATGCACACCAATGATGTACTTGTTTTTTTTCTTTCACAATTGAGATTTTGTTGGTTATGTTGAGGACCGGTACACAAACATTTCAATTTGTACACAATTCTTAACATACATATGAAAAATCTAAAAAGCTGTGTATTGTAATTCTTTTCAAAACAGTTATTCCAGTGATCTTCCAGCTTAAAAATTGGAGGCAATTTTTTCTTAAGAGGATATCAAGTACCAGTATCTTCAAATGTTGTTAACTTGTTACATACATCCTACTGATTCAAAATTTAATAGCATATATACTACATACACAAATTTTTAATCTTTCACAGCACATTAGCAAAGTTATTAGGAAAGTAGGGCTACCACGACCAAAGATAATATAGAGTGCATGATTATGACAGGAAGAGCCATTATCAAGGGGTGATTTTCTTTAGGAAACAGTTCTACTGAAAACAACATGGGAATATAAGTAATTTAAAAATGTTCAAGATATTAAATACAGGACTGTGACTCCATATTGCCATTTATAGTATGCTTTTTATTATAGGATATAAAAACTAACCCCCTTTAATGGAATGTTAAGCTGACACCCAAGACAATCAAAGCATCCCCAAATTCAATATCCCACATTATTTTCTGATTGCACCAAAAAACAAACGAGTGAATGATTTTGTCTCTTAAAGAAAAGCATTTACACTTAAAAAATAGGATGAGATGAAATTCCTCCCTTCTTAAACTGTTTCTAGAGCTACTAAAAGGCTTGCATTTACAAAATAGTTGATAAAAATATTCCTCTGGATTACACAAGAATGGAGGCATGGAGCACTGATAAGACATGATATATGATAATAATCAGATGTGGCTTCTTTCTCTCTGGCTTCATCGGCAGCTAGACTCTCCTTGGTTTTCTGCAGGTAAATCTTTTTTTAGTTTCTTGGTTCACCATTTTGGCCTGTTTTCCCTTTTGTCCCCTTTTTTCTTTTGTTTGCACTATTTTGTCTGAAAATGTATCCTTTCCTGCTTCTTTTTTTGGCTTCGTTTCCCCCCCCTTTTTTTTTTTGAGACGGAGTCTTGCTCTGTCGCCCAGGCTGGAGTGCAGTGGCACCATCTTGGCTCACTGCAACCTCCGCCTCCTGGGTTCAAGCGATTCTCCTGCCTCAGCCTCCTGAGTAGCTGGGAGTACAGGTACATGCCACCACGCCCAGCTAATTTTTTTTTTATTTTTAGTAGAGGCGGGGTTTCACCATGTTGGCCAGGATGATCTTGACCTCCAGACCCCATGATCCACCCACCTCGTCCTCCCAAAGTTCTGGGATTACAGGCGTGAGTCACCGCGGCTGGTCCGTTTCCACTTTTACAGTTGCAGACGTAACTGAGAGCCGCGCTGATCTCCTCGTCAGCTCTTCCTTCACTGCCTGTAAGGCTAAGCTGACCTTTTTCTTGGGCATTTTAGTGGCCAAGAGGTGCATGCTGAGAGGTTTCAAGAAGCTGGGATGTCTGGCTGCTGCCACTCCTTCCACCACCTGAGCTACCAATGATGTATTTGATAGAGATTAGGTGAGAGAGGTACATCAGGAAGAGCCCAGAATGAAAGGTCAGAAGAACAAGTGGGCAGTGGTGATGTTGAAGTCACTGCTACTATGGGTTTATGGTGCTTATCACCCTGTACTGTAATTATCCATGTACAAAGTCCTACAGAGTGACTTTTTGGTCACTGTGGCTTACCAGTGGCTCTCTGTGGGACTTTGAGTCCCTAGTAATCCAGACAAGGTCTCATTTATATTTATATCTTTACTGGTTAGCAAAGATTTTCTGCCAGCCACATAAAAGGTACCTGGTAAAGGTGTGTTGAATGAATGATAGAGGAACCTAAAGAGATGCTTTTTAGTATTTGTTAATTCATCACAATTTACTGAGCATCAGTTATATGCCAGGCATTATGATAGTCATCCAGTGTAAGACTCTTTCCTGTCCACAAGGCATTGATAGTTTTAGAGGGGTACAAGTAAATGAATAATTATAAATTTATGAGTAAATGCAGCAGATAAATATATGTGGGATATTACAGGAGCACAGAGTAGTCATACCTATCCTAGCTGAAAAGAGGTGATGATAGAATCTGATTTATTCATTATAAAAAATTTACTATAAGCACTATTATTAAACATGAGATTAGCCATTTGTTGCCAATTGATATATTATTATCAATATGAGAGAGATTCTAGGACATGCATGACCAATGGAAACCACTGAATTTTTTTCTAAAATCTATTGTCTTAATGACTACACAATCACAGCCCCCTAAAATTAGCCAACCATAACTACAATGTTGTTACTAATGACAGTAACCTTACAAGGTAAGCAGGGTTTTAAAGGATAAGTAGTAGTTATTCAGGTGAAGCCTAGGAGGAAAGGAATTTCCAGGGGAGGGAATAGTGTAAATAAATTTGTGTAAGAAACAGAGAATTGGCAAAGTGTGTGGCAAAATTTATATCTTTTAGGTTATAGAAATCGATGAGAAATTTTTAGCGGTAGAGTCATCTGATGACGTTTGACTATAACAACAGTCACACTTATGAAGCTCTCACTACGCCAGGCATAGCTCCAAGGGCTTTATTTCTATATTAACACAGTTAACCCTCACAGCATCCCTATGAATTAGGTACCATTGCTGTCTCCTCTTCATTGGTGGGAGAAGGTTAAGTAAAGTGTCTCACATCACTAATAAGTGATAGAGTCAGGAATTGAACCATGGCAGTCTGACTAAAGAGTACCTGTATTTAACCACTTCACCGTAAATATTATGGGGCAAGTTTGGATTTCAAGAGTCCATACAGGGAGTTCTTGCAAGATCCAGGTATGAGTTGATGAAGTCCTGAACAAAGTCAGTGGAAGTAAAGATAGACAGAACAGAAGAAGAGATAAGGAGAGAGATTTTAAAAGTCCATATAAAGTAAAATTGTCAGGATTTCTATCAAATATGAACTTGGAGAGGGTGGTCAAAAGAAGGTAGAGTCAGACGAAACTTTTGTGTTTCTCTGGGTCAAGGTATCTTTAAGACAGATAAGTAGAGAGATCTAGCAGGAAGATAGATATTTGATTCTGAAACTGAAAAGGGAGATCTAGGCTGATGATAGAAAGTTTATACAAATATGTAGATAGAAAAGGGAAATGGACTGATGATAGAATGCTAGGAAATGCCAGTGTTTTTAGGAGTAAGTGAAGATGAGGAGTCAATGCAGGAGGCAGAGAGCAAGAGGTCAGGGAAGCATGAGAATGTGGCATGGTGGAATCTAAGGAGATATAATGTATTAACAAGGAAGGCATAATCAAGAGTATCAAACACAGCAATGAAGTCCATTAACTGAAGGATTGAAAAGATACATTGAATTTGACAGGTGATTGGTAGCCTTAGTGAAAGTAGTGTCTTTGAAATATTGGGAGTGGAAGTCAGACTGCATAAATTAAGAGAATGGAAGATGAAAACGTGGTGACAGTGAAGGTAGACAAGTCTTTCAAGAAGTTTGATGGTTTCAAAGAGGAGAGAGTTAGGGAGATAGCAAGTAGGGGCTATGGAAACACTGAAAGTTTATTCTTTCAGGTTATAGATTGAAAGAGAGTTGAGCATGCTAACAGGTTGAAGAAATGGATGGGGATGTCTGATGGTAAGGACTTGATGGAGGTTAGAGGGGGTGGCACTAAGGGTTTAGTCAAGGGAGAATTTCCACATTTGACACAAGGGAAAAAGAGATAAGGATGAGTATGGAGGCAGATAATTTTGTAAATAGAGATGAATGGGTAAAAAATAATTAGGGAGATAAGAGGGGCTTAATTTTTAGATTAATTTTACCACTTTTCCTTAAGCCCACTGTAAACTTTTTGCCTCCTTATTTGGTAGCTAGCTTTGTTTTCTCTTTCATTGGGAAAATGAGTCTACGGTGGAAGATAGGAGACAGTAAACATAGTTATACAAAGGTAAAGGATATGTAGTTCCAAGCCTCAAAGGTTTCAAGCAGGGAGAGATCAAAACCAGTGAAGGAAAATACAGGCCCAGGCAAGTGTAGGTATTGAGGTTTTACTCATTTACATGTAAGTAGCATTTGTAACAGACATTGAAAGATAGGTAGTGTTGCCACATGTGGCAAGTAAGTCAAAGTTAACATTCACTATCTTCTCATCTCCTCATCAATATTTCTAACTGTTTTAATGAGAGAGAAAATGAGACAGACGGGGAGAGAGAGAGAAAGATAGAATTAATGAATATGTAATAATTGAGTTGTACCATCAATGTTTTATGATGTTTTGAATACTGTATTCATCCATTCTCGCATTACTATAAAGGACTACTTGAGACTGGGAAAGTTATAAAGAAAAGAGGTTTAATTGACTCAAAGTTCTGTAGGAGGC